>NC_000013.11:71286893-71438409 GCF_000001405.40 Homo sapiens
TCCCTGTCAGGACTGGGTCTTTCCCTTCAAGGTAGCAGGCTCCCTTCTGGCCTAGGGAGTGTATAGAATTGACATCCAGGAGTTAGGACCTGGAATAGGGACCTCAAGGCTTGCCTGGTGTTTTATCCTACTGTGGATGAGCTGGTATCCAAGTTGCAAGACAAAGTTTTCTTTACTCTTTCCTCTCCTCAAGTAGAAGGAAGGTGGCTTTCCAAGAGCTGTGAGCTGTGCTGCCTGGGGTTGGAGGAGGGGTCAAAAAAGCACTTTCTTGGCTGCTCAGGCTGGTGCCTCACTGGGTGATATGACCCCAAGCCCACAGGGGTCAAGCCCAGTGCAGCACCAGAACTTGTCCAAGAATTGCAGTCCCTGTGGCTTAGACTGCCTTTCAGGTTTATTTACAATCCCAAAGCACTTTAGCCCATAGTAGTAGCAAGGCTTACTGAAACTCAGGCTCCAACCACTGCAATCTGCAATTTCCTTCTGGCTATGGTTGGTCTAAAAGCTACCTTTGTGCCAGCTGAGTTCTGCTTCATGTTGCTTTCTGCTGTGACAGAGCAGCACTGAGTTGCAAAGCAAGGTCCCACAGTCACTGCGCTTTCTCTCCCACAAGGTGCAGACATTCTCTTTGTACCATGTGGCCAATGCCACAGGATGAAGGAGGGGTTGTGTCCACAATTCAAGACTGTCTTTCCTACCGTCTTCAGTGCCTCTTTCAGTAATACAAAGTTAAAACCAGGCATTGTAATTGCTCATCTGGTTTTTGGTTCTCATGAAGTTGCTTTTCTGTGTGGATAGTTGTTCAGTTTGGTTTTCCTGAGGGGAGATGATCAGTGGAGGCTTTCATCTGGCCATCTTTCTCTGCCACCTCCCCAAATCAAATTCTTAAAAATTTTATGCTGTGATTCTGTAGATTTCCTCCTAGAAATTTTTAACTTTTAGTTTTCATCTTTGGTTCTATGATCAATTTTGAATTTTTTGGTGTATACTATAAATTAAGGGTTTAATTTTTAAGTGACTATTCCATTTTTTAAGCACTGTGTCACTTTAACACCATCCTTTCCCTTTTGCATAATCTTATCAACTTTGTTAAAAATCCACTAAACATTTACATGTTTGTCTATTTCCATACTATTTGTCTGTTGTTTTCATATTGTGTCAGTTTAGATAATGTGTACGTCTCTAGGAATTTGGCCATTTCATCAAGTTATCTAATTTGTTCTCGTACAATTGTTGATGCTCTTTTTTAAAAATACTTTTTACTTTTAAGGTAAGTAGTAATGTCCTCACTTTCATTTCTGATTTTAGTTATTTTTGTTGTTTTCCTTAATCTATGTAGCTAAAGGTTTGTCAATTCTCTTTTATCTTTTAGAAAAACCAGCATTTTGTTTCATCGATTTTCTCTTTTTTTCTATTCCCTCTTTAAATCATGCTATTTTTTAAAGTTTCCTTTCTTTTGCCATCTTTGGATTTAATTTGTTCCTCTTTTTCTTCCTCTTAAGGTGTAAAGTTAGCTTACTGATTTGAAAATATTCAATGTGGTGCTCACACTTAGAAATTTTCCTCTGAACATTACTTTTTTGCATCCCAAAGTTTTAGTATGGTATATTTTCATTTTCATTTTCATTTATCTCTATGTATTTTCTCATTTCTCTTGTGAGTTTTTCTTTGACCTGTTGGTTGTTTGAGAGTGTGTTCTTTAATTTCCATATATTGGTGAATTTTTCAGTTTTCCATTCATTGTTGATAAACTCCCTGAGTTTTGCTGCTTAGAGTTCATTGAGCTTCTTGGATGTATATTGTCGTATCTTTCATCAATTTCAAGGGATTTTGGCAACTTTTCTTCAAATATCCTTTATACCCCTTTCTCTGTCTCCTCTCTTTCTGCTGTTCCCACAATATGTATGTTATTCCATTTGATGATCTCCCACAAGCCTGTTTGGCACTGTTCACCTTTCTTCATTCTTTTTTTTTCTGTTCTTGAATCAATAATTTCAATGGGCTTATTCTCAAGAATTATTTCATTCTTATTCATTGATTCTTTCTTCTACTGGCTCAAATTTTCTGTTGAACCCCTATAGTAAAATTTTTATTTCCATTATTATACCTTTCAGCCCCATAATTTCTGTTTGGCTTTTCTTTATAATTTCTCTTTATTGAGATTCTAATTTTGTAAATATCTTGTTTTTCTGATTTTCTTTATTTCCTTATGCATGTGTTTCTTTAGCTCTTTGAGCACACTTAAAATAGTTGTTTTAAATTTTTGGCCTAGTAAGTCTAATGACTGGACTTCTATAGGAATGAATTTTGTAAATTTACTTCATTCCTTAGAATAAGGCATAGACTCCCGTTTCTTTGTATGCCTTGTGATTTATTTTGTTTAAAATTGAGCATTTAAATCTTACAATGTAGCAACTCTGGAACTCAGATTTTCCCTCTTCCTCAGGGTCTGCTACCTGAAAAGTGACCTACCCAAACTATTCCTGTAAAAACTTCATTTCTGATCATGTAAAGTGTTGACATCTCTTCTGCATAGCTTGTGTTCAGCTAGTGCTTTCACAGAGATGTCTTTGAAGGCAAGGAGCCAATAGGAAGAAAGGAAGGAAGGAGAAAGAGAGAAAGAAAAGAAATAGAATGAATGAAAAAGGAAAGAATGAATGAAAAAGGAAAGAAAGAGAAGGGAAGGGAAGGGACACAAAAAAAAAGAAAAAGACAGACAGACCTCTGCCAGTCTTTGCACATTATCTCCATGCTTGTGTGTCCAGAATTGGTTCCTTCCGGTGGGTTCTTGGTCTCGCTGACTTTAAGAATGAAGCTGCAGACCCTCACAGTAAGTGTTACAATTCTTAAAGATGGTGTGTCCAGAGTTTATTCCTTCTGATGTTCAGATGTGTCTGGAGTTTCTTCCTTCTGGTGGGTGTGTGGTCTCGCTGACTTCAGGAATGAAGCCGCAGACCTTCGCAGTTAGTGTTGCAGCTCTTAAAGGTGGCGCGTCTGGAGTTGTTTGTTCCTCCTGGTGGGTTCATGGTCCCGCCTACTTCAGGAGTGAAGCCTCAGACCTTCGCAGTGAGTTTTACAGCTTATAAAGCTAGTGCAGACCCAAAGAGTGAGCAGCAGCAAGATTTATTATAAAGAACAAAAGAACAAAGCTTCCACAGTGTGGAAGCAGACCCCAGCGGGTTGCTGCTGCTGGCTGGGATGGCCAACATTTATTCCCTTATTTGGCCCCTCCCATGCCCTGCTGATTGGTCCATTTTACAGAGTGCTGACTGGTCCGTTTTTACAAAATGCTGATTGGTGCATTTACAAACCTTTAGCTACACACAGAGTGCTGATTTGTCCGTTTTTACAGAGTGCTGATTGGTGTGTTTACAAACATTTAGCTAGACACAGAGTGCTGATTGGTGTGTTTACCATCCTTTAGCTAGACAGAAAAGTTCTCCAAGTCCCCACCCAACCCAGAAGCCCAGCTGGCTTCACCTCTCACTGGGATACTCCTTCAACAGTTAGCCTAGCTTGCACTGAGCCTAAATATCAGCCCAACCTGAAAGGTTAAGGTCATCTCAGGTGTTTTCTGAACATGCCTCTTGGCTTTCTAAATTCCCAAGTGTGCGTGTTGCTTTTGAGAGTTCTAGTTTCTAAAACAAACAAACAACATTTCTTAGCTTTTTCCCACAGGTCTTAGGTGGTCTATTGTTTGTTTTGACTGTACTTTTCTGCCCCAGTCAACAAAGGATTGTTAGTTTTACTTACAGTATTTTTGAGCAATGACCACTACTGGAGATAAAATCCTGACTTTGCCTTTCACTACTCTGAATTTGAGCAATTAGTTTAACTATTGTGTTAAATAAACTTATTTCTAAAACTTTTATTTTTGTTGTTGTTGTTTTCATTTGTTTTCAAAATGTTTCAGCCGTTTGGGGAAGGCAGCAAACAAGATATCTGCAAACATGTTTGGTCTACTAATATTGGTTATTAATATTATTCCTGTTGAGACCAGAAGTCTTCTCCTCATGGAAGGTTTTTTTCTCAAAGGGTTCGTGATCTCATGGACTTCAAGGAATGAAGCCATGGACCTCAGCGGCGAGTGTTACAGCTCAATTGGAGAAATGCGTGCACCCAAAGAGTGTGTGGCAGCAAGATTTATTAAAGTGAAAGTAAAGTGAAAGCGAAAGTAAAGCTTCCACGAGGTGGAAGGAGACCCGGAAAGGTTGCCGTTTTTGGCTTGGGTGTCTTATGCTTATATCCCCTTATGACCCCTCCTCTTTTCCTTTTTCTATCCTATAGAATTAGCTTATTTTCAATCCGCTTGTGGGTTGGCAGGCTTGATTGGTTAAAAACATCAGGCTGCAGCTAGAGCTTAAACTCCCTGTATGATTGGTTGAAGTGTCAATCCCTTAGCTTGCAGCTGTGACTCATTTTGGCTTAGGGGAAGGTCCCCTTTGATTGGTTGAAGTTTCAATCCCTTAGCTTGCAGCTATGACTTATTTTTGGCTTAGGGGAAAGTCCCCTTAGGGAAGTCCCTATTGACCCAGGAAGTCCAGCCAACTTAGCCACTTAGTCCCTCACTGTTACCGAAACACTGTTTACTGAAACAGCAATCTGTCTGTTACCGAAACATTGACATTAGCCTTAGGTTACTGAGAAGGTAAATGACAGGAGCTAGTGAGGTTTCTCTTAACTAGGATAGCAGTGCTTATATATCTTGATTTTCCCAGGAGGATCTTAGTTTATATTTATTGTTCCAGCATATAAATGGTGTCCCTTTTCAAATGTTAAAGTATTGTAAATTACATAGATAGTGTCCCTAGCTGTGATTCTGTGGACATCACACCATACATTGACCTTTCAGAAAGGGAGTGGTTTAGCCAGACAATAAAAGAAGACATCTAGCTTTCATTTTACTCCTGTCTTCTACCTCAACTATGTCTCTCTTCTTCTTCCTTAATAGCAGAAACTCAATTTTTAGTTGGACATATTGCTATCTAGAACAAAAGACAACAGTTCCTAATCTCTCTTGGAACTTTGCCAACCAGAGGACTAAATTCTGAAAACTGGTATGTGAGTGTTGGGTGGGACTGTTATGGGTGAGAAATATCTGAGTCTCACAGCACCAAATGTGTTACCAGTGCAAGTAGTTGAGTCTTAAGGCACCAAATATGTTACCGATAGTAGGCATCGAGTCACTGGCAGCGAATCCGTATGGATCTGCAGCAATCTCAATTCTTGCCTCCTCAGAAGAAAGAATTTGACTGAGGGCATAAGGCAGAAAAAGAGACCAAGGCAAGTTTCAGAACAGGAGTGGAAGTTTATTTTAAAAGGCTTTAGACTAGGAAAGAAAGAAAAGTACGCTTGGACAAGACACAAACAGGCATGTGAAAGTCAGGTGTAATGTTTCGCCTTGATCCTAGGACTTGATAGGCTGGTCCCTTCCCCATGATTCTTCCCTTATGGTGGGCTTTCCACATGAACAGTGTCCTTACGCTTGGGAGGTAAGTACACACAGTGTTTAGGAAGTTGTATGCATGCCCATCTGCGGCTTTTTTCCCTTTTCTGGTGGTGTGTCCCAGGAAGGTCCAACTTTGCCATTTTGTCTCTTAATGCACATGCCCAGTAAGTTGCCTCTCCCTGGAATCTGCATTCATTTAACACTTTAGTGCAACAGGTGTGGACCATCAGGAAATGGTCTCTCCCTGGTGCCAGCTGCCAATTTATCACATTTAGAGAGGCGATGTGATAACTGCTGAACCAGCACCCAACATTCCTTGTGGGTTGGGGAGAGCTCTCTCCTGCCCAGCTTATGCCTGTCTAACTCCCTGTAACAGGACAACTGGGAAGGTTATTAAGCAAGATGATTCAACTTAGACAAATGAGGATTTTTTAAATGAGCTACCTCCCAGTGGAGCCACCTTTATTTATTTATTTATTTATTTATTTTTATTTTTATTTTTATTTTTTGAGACAGAGTCTCGCTCTGTCGCCCAGGCTGGAGTGTAGTGGTGTGATCTCGGCTCACTGCAAGCTTCGCCTCCTGGGTTCACGCCATTCTCCTGCCTCAGCCTCGTGAGTAGCTGGGACTACAGACACCTGCCACTATGCCTGGCTAATTTTGTGTTTGTATTTTTAGTAGAGATGGGGTTTCACCGTGTTAGCCTGGATGGTCTCGATCTTCTGACCTTGCAATCTGCCTGCTTCGGCCTCCCAAGTCACCTTATTTAATACCTTCCTTCTTGTGGTTTGCCACGTGGACATAATGATCAGAACTGCAGCAGCCCCACTGGCCTTCCAAGTGAACTTAGCAATAAGTTCACAGGAATGGTGCAGAATAAAGATAAAGATGTAAGCTTTTGATGGCATTGGAGTCTTTTCTATCAGCCAGGAACTATTTGACATCTCAAAGCGAAAAATAAATCTACATATTTTTTAAGAATCTACTTTCTAAGTCTCTGTTATTTCCAGACTATCACAATCCTAATGTACATAGAATCTGTTTCATGGGCATGCAATAATACAATATTGGAGCCTAAAATGTGTTCCCAATATTTTAGGCTGAGAACCTGGCAATACATACTTCATTGATAAAAGATTTGGCCAAAATGCTGTCTGCCACACTTTGGAAAGCAGACAAAAGGCTGTCAGGAAAGCAGATCAAATACCCTTAAGGGAAAGTGTTAAAAAATAAAATAAAATGTTGTCTGTGCTAGCTGTTTCTTGTTGCTTTCAACAGAGTTCTAGGAGAGATGAGCTCAACTTTGATCCAGCTTATCTGCAGGCAGAGATGTTAGGGAGGAA
This sequence comes from Homo sapiens, assembly GCF_000001405.40. NCBI lineage: Eukaryota > Metazoa > Chordata > Mammalia > Primates > Hominidae > Homo > Homo sapiens. The sequence goes on from NC_000013.11 coordinate 71,293,683, forward strand.
TTCTCTCTCTCTCTCGTCTGCAGTGTAAAAGCATTAAATTTGGAGCCTTTCAGAATTAAAAAAAAAAAAAAGACAAGTGCTCTGCATTCCAAACTGAAACCCTTGTAAGTTTACTCCAAAGAAACAGCCTTAGCAGGAGATTAATCACTGGTATTAAAGCTTTTAAAAAGACCTTCCATGAATAGTTCTTTGTCAGACAATGGGAAGCAAGCTAGAAGCAAATATCATATTAAGTATGTTGTCTTCCCACCCAAGTCTATCCTTTTAAGTGGTCTCAAGGTACAATCAGGCTTAAAAACTACAAGATCTGAAAGCCAAAAGAAACCACAAGCTTGGACTGCACCTGCCTATTACTGTTGAAATTTTAATAGTACCTGAAACTGCACTGAAATGAATTGGGCTGCAGGATATTTGGGGGCTTAATTAAGGATGCTTTCTATTGCCCACCTTAGAAATAGCCATGGAGAGCTCAGGAAAAGGAAGAACCTACCCAAAAGGGTGGAGCAAGAGATAAGAGCAGACAATGGAAGTAGCGCTTCTATAGAGAGCAGAAGTAGGAACAGGTAAGGTAACCAGGGACTCTTATATTACTAGGTTAGGGGGCTTAACTATTTATGCCCAGCAGAATCTTACTATTATGATGAGCTAATGAGCACAATTTCCTATTTTACATCTGTTCCTGCTGCTCCTTTTCTTCTGCGTGTGTTTCAGACAGATAAGTTTTCATTTAGTCTAGTAAGTCCCCAAACAATAAAGAGCTAGAGGTACACCTAATAGAGTGGTCAGCAAACATCCAGTGACCTTACATATTGAGCTATATGCATACTGGACAAACTTCCTTGCAGCTAGCTATAACAGTGTGACTAAGTTCCAGGCAATAAGTTATATATAGAAGAACAGAGCACTTTAGGAAAAATACAAACCTGTGCTCACTTTCTCCTTTTCTTAGTTCATTCTAATAACTAAAATGCAATTGGGATGGTGGAAGCTCCATTGGCCATCTTAGATCAGTGAGAGCCATAGCTAACGGTGGCCAAGCAAAGAGCTGGAAGACAGCAAGGGGCTGCTGTGTCAGCTGTGGACTACTTTTATTAGACTTACTTTATTAGAAAGAAATGATCTTCTTTTCAGTTAAGTCATTATTATTTACGGCATTTCATGTGCATGTGTGTGTGTGTGTGTGTGTGTGTGTGTGTGTGTGTAATGTGGCCAGATCAATCCATTCTATATATTACCTTATACAAATAAAAGGGAGAATGGGTTTGATGATAATTTTTGGAGCACATACCCCAAGATTAAAACAAAAAGGGAATGGAGAGACTCAAATTTACCCTGAGCAGCTATCAGGGTATCAAGAAGCTATCAAGCACTTTTAGTACAATGGCTTTAATTAGGGAAGATTGCCTTGATTATTTCCACACGCCTCTTATTTTTCTAAAGGCATTTAGTTTACTTAATTGCAAAATATATAGTTGTTGAGTGTGTTCAAATAAGTTTTCCATTTATCTTTTAAATTTTCAAAGTTTAAAAAGGATACGTAGCTATACTACTTTCTTTTGAAGCGTATTTTCCTATGTCAACCATTTCCTTAGTCTCTTAGAAATTTCTGTAGACGAAACTGCAACAAAGTTTTTATATTGCTGTACGTTATGGCAAACCATGTGTAATGAATGCTATATGCTTCTGCTCAGATTTCTCACCTCCAGCACCAAGGTACTCTTTTTCCCAACAGCCAGGTCCTTTAGGGAAGGGGGCTAGGGCACAGTGGAAAGGGCTGGTGAGGGCCTTCTTGGAGTCTGCTCAGCAACACTGAGCAAAAAGAATCAGCTTATTTTTATTTCCCAATTCTTTTCCTCCTTCCAATATTGCTATGTAGGGATAGGATTTTAGACAGGGCAGCTGTAAGAGCGACAGAATTCTGATGAATTCTGGGCTTTGAGGATGGAAGTCAGTGGTCTATATACCTGGTTGCACCCATTCATATATCTGTTCATCCATTTTCTTTCTTCATTTACCAATTGCTCATTCACTTCTAATCTATGCTGGGCCCTTTGGTGGCTTCTGGAGACATCTGAGTAAATTCCAAAGGCCCACTGTATTAGTCCATTCTCACACTACTATAAAGACATACCTGAGACTGGGTAATTTATAAAGAAAATAGGTTTAATCAGCTCATTGTTCTGTAGATTGTACAGGCTTCTGCTTCCTGGGGAGGCCTCAGGAAACTTACAATCATAGTGGAAAGCAAAGGGGAAGCAAGTGTGTATCCACATGGCTGGCAGGAGAGAGAAAGAGCAAACGGAGAGGTGCTACACACTTTCAAACAACAAGATCTTGTGAGAACTCTATCATGAGACAGCACTCAGGGGATGGTGCTACACCATTAGAAACCATCCCCATGATCCAGTCACCTCCCACTAGGCCCCACCTGCAACATTGGGAATTATAATTCAACATGAGATGTGGGTGAGGACACAAAGCTAAACTGTATCACCCACCCTTTTGGAATTTAGTCTACTGAGATACCATGAAGCTGATGCTAGTCTTGGAATCTAGAAAGAAACCCAAGAAAGCAATATGGTGCCCCATAGCCCAACACGAAGATGACATTATACCTGGATTGGCCATAGGTGTTTATATTTCCCCCACAATTGTTGATGCCAAGAAAAAAGTTCTTCATTGTTGAGAGATCAAATCAGATGGGAGTGTTTCAGATGTACACCCTATAAATCTGATATCTGGGTGTTTGGAGGCACTGGCTAATCCAAATTTTCTACAAGTCCTGAATTCTGAAAGCAGGAGCTCGGTCATGCCTGAGATGATCAGTCTCTACTCCCACTCTCACTCCCATCCCACCCCAAAATACTCCACATATCATCAGAAGCCACTGGAAACCACCTGTATGTTTTTGGTGAAGAGTGAAGAACCTAGCCCCTGGAGCATGGAAGCCACTTGTGTTTGGCATAAACACTGACCCATTATCAACCAAAGACCTATAGATAACCATCTTTTCCTGGGATGACCACATGATGATGGCAGCAGGGACAAAGCTCTTCATTCATAGAGGGTCATCAGGTGAAAAATTCTATGATGATCTGCATTTCATTGATGTAAGTGGCATAAAGTTGTAGAAACTGAGTCCCATTGGGGCCATTCCCACAGGATGTGTCACACATTTAGCTGTGGTTGTGAAGAAACGTACGTATATCGTTAGAAGAAATGACTTTCACAGGAGCACTAGGCTCAATACTAACATTACATAGGAAAGCAGAATTGGACCCTGCTTAAATTTGGCATCTCCTTCCCCATCCGCCCTGTACAATTGACCATCTAATGAATATAATTCCAAGGCTGGTAATATCTACATCAGAGAAATAAGAGTCAATTTCTGTCATTGTAAGCTGTGAAACTAAGAAAGAGGACTTTGCTGACAACGCAAGGCTGTGATCCACCTGAAGAAAGCCAGACTGATACACTATTCTGTTTTGTGTTTGATGGAATGGATACAGAATAGGAAATCTATAATGAGCATGTTATAACAGTAGTTGACTAGTAAAATTCATATTTTATTAAAGAAAAAAATATGCCTCAGTAAAAAGAGCTGCATCACCCAAGGTTACAGTCTCTCTCTGATAAAACCAAGATTTATCTTCTGTGAGGTAAAAGCAGCTTCATCCAATGACTAGTCAAAGCTATGGTACAAAGGGTTGGCCCTCTTATTTAAACTTGGAATAATTCTGAAGGGCCATCACAGCTCCAGAGCTCCATGTGTGATCTGCTGAAAGCCCTGCATCAACTAAATCAACTATATTGCGGTTTAATTTCTCCCAATGTCTAATCCTACTTTCCTTACTCCCCTACATATATTAATCTCAAGAATACTTTTCAACAAACTTCATGCATGTTAATATCTGTCTCCAAGTCTGTTTTCCAGGGAACACTAAATAAGACATCATTTATCTGTCAGTTCTTTTCCCTGTCACTAACATGAAGCTCATTTTTGTCAAATTTGTAAATATGGTGTGTACTTCTGGTAATAAGAAATGGGATTCAAATATATTAGCTTAGTTTTATATAAATTTTCAGTCCCTGTCATGAATTCTGAAGACAAGATCATAGAAAAGAACCAGAGATGATTAAAGTACTAGTTGTATCAGTATATACTGCTGTGTAACAAAACACCCTAAATGTATTGGTTTAAAAGAGAAACAATTTATTTTATTATGATTCCATGGATTGACTGGGTGGTTCTTCTCCTGGGCTCACATGGGCTTATTTACGTGACTATATTTAGTTAGTGGCCAACTGGGCTCTGGGCTCTGGCTGGGATGGCTGGACTTCTCTCTCCATTTGGCTTGGAGGGGGTAGACTAGATTTCTTTACATAGTGGTCTCAGAAAAGCATTCCAAAAGGGCAACAAACCCCATGCCAAAGCACTAATCAAAACTAGGCTTATTTCACATTTGTTGATGCTCCATTGGCCAAAGCAAGTCACAGCCCAGTGTCAATGTGGGATAGGAACACACAAGGGGATGGATGTAGGGAAGCGTAGTTGTGTGCTCTCTCTCTCTCTCTCTCTTACTCTCTTCCTCCATATCTATGGATTTACATGCATATATGTTAACGTTTGTATAGTACTTATTATATGACAGATGCTTTTTAAGAGTATATAAATGTATATTTGCTTATGTATAAATATGTATGTGTATACATATAAGTATAAATATATGAACATTTATTAACAAAAAATAAATAAAATAACCTAAAAAATAAAAATAAAGTTAGAATTATTATCATCTCCAATTTGGTGATGAAGAAAGTGAAGCATGGTATCAGGGGAACCCACCCCCAATATTTCAACGTAGGTTCTTTCTATTTTCTCTAAGTGTCAGCCAGCTGAGAAATAAAGAGAAAGAGTACAAAGAGAGGAATTTTACAGCTGGGCCTCTGGGGGTGACATCACATATCAGTAGGACCGTGATGCCCACCTAAACTGCAAAACCAGCAGATTTTTATTAAGGACTTCAAAAGGGGAGGGGGTGTACGAACAGGGAGTAGGTCACAAAGATCACATGCTTCAAAGGGAAAAAGGAGAACAAAGATCACTTGCTTCTGAGGCCAATAAAGATCACAGGGCAAAGGGCAAAGCAAAGATCACAAGGCAAAGGGCAAAATCAAACACTTCTGATAAGGGTCTGTGTTCAGCTGTGCACATATTGTCTTGATAAACATCTTAAACAACAGAAAGCAGGGTTTGAGAGCAGAGAATCAGTCTGACCTCAAATTAACCAAGGTGGGTTTTTTTCCCCACCCTAATAAGCCTGAGGGTACTGCAGGAGACCAGGGCATATTTCAGTCCTTATCTCAACCGCATAAGACAGACACTCCTGCCATTTGTAGACCTCCCCCCAGGAGTGCATTCCTTTCCCAGGGTCTTAATTATTAATATTCCCTGCTACGAAAAGAATTCAGTGATATCTTCCCTACTTGCACGTCTGTTTATAGGCTCTCTGCAAGAAGAAAAATATGGCTCTATTCTGCCCAACCCCACATGCAGTCAGACTTTATGGTTGTCTTCCCTTGTTCCCTGAAAATTGCTGTTATTCTGTTCTTTTTCAAGGTGCATTGACTTCATATTGTTCAAACACACATGTTTTACAATCAATTTGTACAGTTTAACACAATAGTGGTCCTGAGGTGATGTACATTCTCAGCTTATGAAGATAACAGGATTAAGAGATTAAAGACAGGCATAAGAAATTATAAAAGTATTAATTTTGGGAACTGATAAATGTCCATAGTAAAATGAAATGTTCACAATTTATGTTCAGAGATTGCAGTAAAGACCAGCATAAGAAATTATAAAAGTATTAATTTGGGGAACTGATAAATGTCCATAGTAAAATGAAATCTTCACAATTTATGTTCAGAGATTGCAGTAAAGACAGACATAAGAGATTATAAAATTATTAATTTTGGGAACTGAAATATGTCCATATTAAAATGAAATCTTCACAATTTATGTTCCTCTCCTGAGGCTCTAGCTGGTCCCTCCATTTGGGGTCCCTGACTTTCTGCAACAGCATGGAGAAGTAACTAACTTCTTTAAGGATGTAGAGCCAGGAAGTGGAGAAAATGAGATTTTAAGCCTGATGTTAATAACTCCATCATCACATATTCTTCTTTTCTCCTTCCCTTCCACGTCAATTTCTGGGGAGGAGACAGAGTGTGTGTGATGGGTGTTAAAGCACAGGCAAGTTGAAGCATAGAAAGGATTTTAGGAATTATCTAGCACTTTGATTTCTAGATGATGATTTCGGGACCTATACATATGAAATAATTTCCCCTCAAAATGCAACTTATTAAAAGTTATTTCCATTATGTGCCACAGCCTTTGTTTCTATGTCAGAATATTGTGAAAAGTTAGGAATATTAAGTTTTATCAAATTACAGATGAGACTGCATGGATTCAGACTCTACCAAATTGTGAAGTATAAAGATGGATTCCTTTCACCAAATTAAAGAGCACCAGGACTACAGGATGCCCACTGCAGCATAAAAGATAAAAGGGATTTATGCTTTGTACTTCACTGCTTTACACAGTTGGTAGTAAACATATGCAAGTCATTACCCCAGAAGGTTATATACTCTGAAAATATAAATAGGTTCAGGAAAGGCTTAGATAAATTCATGAATGAAGTTTATAATGGGTTACCAAAAGGAAATTAGGGATCACAGACTCCCCAAGGTCTGGGTGTGGAGGGCAACTGGCATGCTTTCCTGAAAAACATCAAAGAAACTATGTTGTTTCTCTAGAGTTCATGTGACTCAGTATGACAGTTATATTATCATATTCTTTATATAAGATTCTTCTTCTTATAGGGCAGGCCTGGTGGTGACGACATGATTAGATTTCATTCATTTATTTTACAAAACATTCTTTAAAAATTACTCCTTTTTGTCTCCATCAATAAACTAATTTGCCTCCATCAATAAACTAACAATTGCTTTTATAGATTATTTATGATACTATTTAAGTTTACTTTCTCTTCTGTTTTCCTTCTTCTCTCTGCTATCCCATTTTTTATATCAAACTTTCTCTCTCCTCTCACCTATTTGAGCTCTCTTAAAAAACTTTCCCTCTACCTTTCTTTTCTCTTTATTTTTCTCCTCTTTCCTACTACCTTTAATCTCTTTCTAACCCTTTATCTTCAATCTTTCTTTAAACTTTCTTTAAAGTTTATATTATGATATAGGAGATATGTGTCTGCAATTTGTTTTTGACTGACTCTCATATCTTACTATTATTAAATAAGAACACGACTCAATCTAATCTTAAAATGAAGAAAAATAACTTTAGAAAAAATCTGTAAATATTACAATAACATCAATACAAGAGAATAGAAGCAACACATATGCCAATCTCCATTAATGTAAGCAGTTTCCATTGAGATAATATAAAATATGCTCTAAAACCAGCAGTTCTGAAGTGTAAGTAATATTAACTAATGTTTAAAGTATATCCTTGAAGAAAATATTGGTTCCATTTATTTAGAAAGAGACACTGGCATGATAAAATTGATCTAACACTGTCTTTTCTATGAATAAGTAAATCAGTGGGAAACATTCTGGTTGTGCATGGAAATTGCTGCTCCAAGGACATTTTATTTTTGCTACCAACATGCGTTAGTAATTTAAAGTACGTATTAGACTAAAGTTACTTATTATAACTTTAAAAACAAATTTCATAATTTCTGATATATTAATTTCTAGAAAGTATACTCAGAGTTGCGTTTTCTTCCTAGATTATGCTATGTAATGTACGTTTGATACAATTTTAAGTACTCTAAAATGCAGAGAAAACCAAACATATGAAAAATATGTTGATTCAAAGTTTTTTTAAATACTACTTTACCATTTTGCTAGAATTATGAAAATTCTAATAAATGGCTATCAATAAAACTAATTTGTCATTCATTATCCATTGCCACTATAATTGCTATGATGTATGTTGAAGACCTATACAAAACTTCCAAATTTTAGTTTAAATGCACGAATAATCATTCTTTTTCCATCCACACTTCCAGGTTATTTTTATTATACATATTTGCCATATTTCATATGTTTTAACATTCTTCAACTATTCTGCAAGCATTTACTTAGTGCCTACTATATTATAAATACTTGCCCTTAACTGCAATGACAACATCAATTAAATATTAAATTCTAATAACATAAAAATTGATTTCAACATCCTATTTCATTAGCGCTTTCAGTTTTATATGTCTTATTCAGTTCCATCATAATGGACATTTGGATTTTCCCACCTTATTGTGCCATATTTTGCTAAATTACAAAAGTAAAAACTCTCTTGCAACTAAGACACAAGCATAATACCTAAAATCTGTTCATTAGATTCACCTACAAGAAACATCAATTCAGATGCACATTGAAAAAACAGGTCTCCCTGGAACCCATTTTTCTGAGAATGCTAGCAGAGGAATCCAGGTTTCCACAGCAAAGGACAGGATCTTATAGAGTAATGCATAGTGCCTAGCATCAGCAATTCTTTCTGCAGGGTCTGTGACCGAACCCAGGCCACAGGCATTCTGCTGAGCCCATTCATCAACATATTTTGGGTCTTTCTGGTAGGGGTAGCATTCAAGTTTGATTTTCTATCCTTGAAAGAGTTTCTTCTAAACTTTGACATAGTACTTCCTGCTTACAGTAGCTAAAATAGGTTTCAAACTTTTCAGGTAACAATTTATTCTAATAAATTGATCAATACCTTAAGTTCTTTAAGGGTGATATGAGTATTTTCCAAAAATTCTTTCTCCTCAATTATTGTAGTCTATCAATTATCCTTCTCCATTGTCTTATCCATGCCCTTGTACTCAGTATGTAAAACTCAAACCATGAATCAATTCAAGCATCTGATTTCTCTATTTCTATGCCTGGGTAAAAACGAGCATGGTTGAAGAAACTCATTCAATCATATGTAATTGTATATATTTAACAAGAAGAAAGTGGAGCTAAAATATCCAATTTATATTGTTGTGTGAACCAAGCAAGTTGCTGCAAATGTAGATAGCTAGGTAGATGGGTGGATAGATAATAGATCATCTCTCTCAACACTCACTTCTCCCTCCTCAGAAGATACTACTTAGGCTGAAATGTACATTCTCAGACTTTCATCCCATTGGGTTCTAGATGTGATTGAATTTCCACAATCAGATACATTTACTCAAAACTGTAAATTCAAGGGAATTCAAAGGAAAAGGTAATTTGAGGAAAATTATTATTTTTCTGTTGCAGATTGTTGCAGAGGCTTCCTAATTTGGTGGTTTCCTAAATCAGAGGAAAGAACTTCTCAATCACAGCAGACTCAGTGAGATTGCAGGTAGTTGGAGCTATATGTAGGAGTCTATTCTTCTAAAATCCTGACAATAAATGCATTTATGCTTGAACTAAGTAAAGTAGTTCTTGTTGTTTGAAAGTGAATCTTTTCAGAGATAAGAACACTACTAGTTAAGCAACGAGATGCAACGTGTTTCACATTGCAGAATCCTGAAAGGCCCAAGTGATGGAGACAGTATATACTTGTGATGGTAGAGATTAAGGATTGAGGCAAACACAAAAGTGTGGATCACAAATCTGGGAGCAAACCTCCACCAGGTGTCCTCCTTTACCCAACATAGCAAGGTGACCACCTAGCAAAATTAATCTTGGGATAATTAAATCAGCCCAATTCGGGAAATAAGAAAATTAGGCACATTTGAGGATGAGAGGCCAGGCATGGTGGCTCACACCTGTAATCCCAGCACTTTTTTCTGAGGCCAGGAGTTCAAGTCCAGCCTGGCCAACATGGTGAAACCCCATCTCTACTACAAACACACACACACAAAAATTAGCCTGGTGTGGAGGCGAATGCCTATAATCCCAGCTACTCAGGAGGCTGAGGCAGGAGAATCACTTGAACCCAGGAGGCAGAGGCTGCACGGAGATCACACCATTGCACTCCAGCCTGGGCAACAAGAGCGACACTCCATCTCAAAAATAAATAAATAAATAAAGACAAGAGTGAGGTATAATGTTGAAAACAAAGGCACTAAGGGAAATTATTTACACCAAACAGTGAGATCCCTGCCTCCTTTGCCAAATCAATCCCCAGAAATCTGGAAGCTGGAAGCTTACATCATGTGGGAGGGAGACTAAGGATTACACTCAGGGAAGCTGCCAAGTCCAAGAGAAAAGACTGACAAATATGTCATGAGGGATTCCCCAGTGAAATGTCCCCACTTCTTTTTCCTCTGGTGAACCCCACCATTCCACAAGCCCCACGCATGCATAACTTGGCAAACATCTGTTTAGTTCTGTACTCTTGATTATGAATTGTCAGTAAAGACTCAATAGATAGTTGAAGAAAATCTCTAACATGAAAGACGAGGAGTAAAACAAACAAAAACAGAACTAAAAAATAAGTTTAATGCAGGACCAATAAAACATCCGTACCAATTGAAAAATCTTGAGAAAGATCAGAGATGTTGTTAAGTGTGAAGAAGAAGTGGATACTACAAAAAGAAAAAATAAAAGGGACCCCTGGTAATTAGAGAATATAATCATAACAGTACATTGGAAAAATCAATAGAAATTTTTAAAAAATTTGTAGGAGTTTCCCCAAAAGAATTTTTAAATGATAAAATAATAGAAAACCAAAGAAAAAAGAAAAACTAAAAGATAAATACATAATTTCCATTATCTGACCAAAAGGAATAACAGAGAAAACTGAGAAATTAGATAGAGGAATGTAGTCAAGAGTTAATGAAATGTTTTTTCTAAAGAACCAGCTTTCTAAATTAAAAGGACATCTGATTTTCCAGGAAAATTAATGGAAAAAAAGTCATATTGAGGCAGAGCACTGAGAAATATTAGAGTAATGGTAACAAAGAGAAGAATCAAATATCTTCTGTGATTGAGGAATAAAGTGGGAGTAATAACAACAAAAATATCACAAACTGTCAGTAATCAAATTAGCCTTAAACTCATAATGGCAACACTGGCAGCTAGAAGACAATGAAGAATGCCTTTGAAATACCTAGAGAGAATTACCACTAATAATAGAAAAAACTGTCTTTCAAATATGATCTTAAAAAACATTTTCAAACATTCAGGAATTCAAAACATATTTTCAAATATGCAGGATCTAAAATTTCCAGCACAGGTTTTTTTCAAGAAGCTTCCTGAAGATGTGTTTCTCTAAAAAGACAAACAAAGCAAGGAGAAGCAAAGGATCTAATCAAGAGAGCCAAAGAGATTTTCTATTGAAAGAAACTCCCTGATAAGAACCTGCCAGCATGCTTGGGGAGCAGCGGGTACAAGAAAAACATCACGTATGGACAGATAGACACACAAGGAAGTGATAAATACCTTATGTGTTTGACCTTATAAATGGAATATTTACAGTTCTTTAATACCGTGCAGAGATGAATTATTAACAGGTCTTAAAATATTATCAAATTATGCAGTGCAGGACTTATTGACTCCAGGTAACACAAGTTTGGTGTATAGACATTAATGTACTTATTTTATATGCCATGGTTCACTGGCAGACAATACTATGAAATCATTCAACAAAAGCACTGAATGTTGATTTACCTAAAATGCATAACCATACAGTACAGCTGGGAGAGGGAAAATTATTTCTTCCGTGTCTGAAATTATATAATTGTTAGTTAAAATCATTATAAAATAGCATTATAAAGTCATTACTGGAAAAATATATAGCATAATACTGAAGAAACAAGTGAAAATGCTAAAAGTGATTTAGTCAGGGAACTAGAGATGGGAAGGTCTGGCTGTTAGATTGCTGTTTTTTGCAGCATTCCTTTTAATTTTATATGTATTTGCTAAAATAAAAACTTTATATGTAGACAATGAAATACCATGATAATACCATTAGGTAGATCTTATTATCCCCGTTTTGCATAGAGAGCCCTGGAGAGGTCAAAGCCATAGCTAAATATTTGGCAAAGGCAGGATTTTTACATTCAGGTTTTCCTGAGTCGAGAGCCATGTACTTTGTACCACATTACACGTACTCCTTCACAATTGCAATTATTCCTTTCCTCATTTCCATTTACAGCTGTGGGTGCCAAGCCGAAAGCACATTTGCTTGGTGTTTTCTCAGGAACACGTCCACAAGTCACTTATGCCTGAGTTCTGTTCCCGTGAAATATCCCAGAAGGTGCTAAGAGGAGAAGTGTGGAAAACTAGAACCACAGTGTGAAGAAAGGCTTTGTGGAATGGTAAGGCCGCCTGGATGAAGCATGAGAGAGAGAAAATGAAAATATTTCACTTATATTCCTTTTACTTTTCAATTACTAAAGTGTCTAAATATGATCATGGAAAACTGGTAAAGGTGATCAATCCTGACCTACATGTTTACACAGTGTTTACGCTGATGCTTAAGTAGAACAAATACTATTACATGTTTCTTATTTTTATACTGGGGAAAGGATAACATGCTGAAGTAATTTCTCTCCTAACACTTAAGGAAATTCTCACTGAAGAATCTGACATGGACAAACTTCTTTAAACCCAAGTACCTAAGTAACTGAAGTAACAATGTATAATGAGAACAGAATCATAGAAAATTGTAATATCTACATTTTCTGTCACAAACACAAAGGGCTTCTGTAATTTAGATACCTACTTTTAAAAGCTAGTTTGTTTGCAATCCAAAACAATTAAATATGCATTATTTTCCATTATATAATTATTAAAGAGAGATTGTCTACAAAACATATGTGCTTATATTGGTGTCCACGAGCAATCAAAAATAAGCAGGTACACATAGACTGCAGTAACACATAGGCAATACTATCATTTCTTTATCAGTGCACACAGGAAAATGTTCTTGATTAAAAGATTTGATGGGCTTTTTAATTGCAGTATTTTTCATTTCCCATGGGTTTTTAAAAATTTTTAATTATCATGGGTGCATAATAGATGTATATATTTATGGGGGTTTGATTATTACATATTGTATGCCTGTATCAAAACATCACATGTACCTTAGGGTTTTTGTTTGTTTGTTTTGCTTTTTATTTTTAATCTATAGAAACAAGTAAAGCATCCCCAGTTACCAAAGTTGTGGAATTCTCTTTGACTCCTGTTACTATTCTCAAGTGCAAATAACCCATCTTTTATTCACTTGTATGAGTCTTCTCTGTAGCTCCTGACATCCTTTTAATGCATTTTCTCTGGGACAACAAGAATGACATTCCTCTTCGAATCTTTGTCATTGTTCTTTAAAGTCCCAGCTTTTGCCATAGGCTTTTGTAGAAAGAAGAGTCCCTATCCCACAGCTACATTCCTTCAGTTCTGCTTATTATCACTTGGAGGCAGCCTCAGTTCCTTAGTATATTCATCTTTCTTTGGTCCAGATCAATAGATCATTTTAAATCAGTGCACTGAAGACTGAAAAAACCACTTCTATTGCAGGCTGGTAGTAAGAGAGTGAATGATTTCTTGGAGTTTGTGGTCCATAATTATATTAACCTTGGTCCCACACCAAGCTATTTGAAACTTCTCACACCTCATTACCAGTCAATGCGTCCTTCTCTGTATAAGAATTGCATTGTTTGACTTTGAAAGACATGTTGTTAAAATCTGTTTACAGGTTGGTGATGTTTCTTTAGAAGAGTGGAACAAATTTCATGGTCAAAGTCAAAATTTTAGCACCCTTTTTATAACGAGGGTATCCAACCCTGTGAATCCCAGAACAGCCAGTATTGTCACAAGTGAGTTAGAGAAAATGAAAGAAGCAAATTGTTTTAACCATTACCGTATTAATAATGTGCTTTACATTTTAGAAAGTAATTCTAACATATATTTGTGTTTGGCATTTTCTAAATAAAAGATATCACCTTAAATTATAGAAATCAAGCTGGTAAACATAATAAATAATTTATGTTTTTTAACTACTTTGCCACCAAAGGCCTTAATCCTGCCTTGAGTTTAAAAAGACCAATCGTCTTGGGAGGGGAAAGAAGATTTACTAATGTGAATGAAATTGTTCTTTCTGGTATATTTTCTTGAGACTGTACTGAACATCTTTGAAATAAATGAAGGAGTTAAGAATCTATCCTTACAAAAATCTCGTTAAACAAACCAAACTACATTATATGTATTTTACTAAACCCTAGTGAAGTAATCAGCTTTTCCGGAGTTTTAAAAATAATCTAGATGGGAGATTACATGTTTGATTTCTTCTGAATGATTAAAAGGCCTAGAGCCTAAATGTTCTATTTGCTCCAAGAGGAAAGCTGGGAGACGAAAGAGGAACTATGTAAAATCCCAACTGTTCCTTTTTACTAGAAAACAGTCAAAGACTTGATAAGCAAAAAGGCAGTTGTTTGTCAGGGGTATCACCCAGAGAATTAGTTTAAAATATAGTACATTCGCTCAGCTTATGAAAGAGGGAAATTTTGCTGTTCTACTAGATGGGGCTAATGATTCATCTTTGGAAGAAAAATGACAAATTAATGCCAACAAAGCCAAATTAATGGTATGACCAGTTAGAACTCACATAGTTTGAAATTTCAATTCATGAACTATCCTGAACATGTAAAAGGTAATCAATATATTTTCCAAAACTTGAGAAAAAGGATACAAGTCTAATTAAACAAATTAATCATCTACTAACTCAACATTTCACTAATTATAATCATCTCTCAGATATGCAGTTTTCCTAAGTAGTACAAACCAATCATTAGAAAAAATATTTTGGGACATAAATGCCTCTAACAAAATAAAGCTCATCTTAAATCATCACTAAAATAGGTTTTCTAATACACATAATTTTCTAGTTAACCCAAGCATTATTTGTGTTTTAATTTTTATTGCATTAAAAAATCACTGTAAAGTGTATTGGGCCAATTTCATTCCCAAATAAGCATAGTATAATGATACATATTTTTAAGCATCTTGTAGGCCTTGGGGTCATGATAATAAACATAATTTTCCAAACTACATCCCTACAAATTTAAAACATAGATATCTTTTAGCATATATTTTAGGCCAAAGAAAGGCTCACTTCTATTATCACCAATACCAATTTGCAACCAGATTTAATATTTTAAGTTTCACTGTTCAATTCTGAATTGAATTTAGGGAATCCTTCCTTTCATAGATATCTTATGAAGTTCAGAGTTATTATACATAAAATTATAGCTGAAATTGTCCTATTGAAGCTATTTTCATTTGTTTCTGTATTTAAGTATTTTCTTAAGTAGTATAGACGGGTTTGATTGGCAGTATAACTGAGATGTCCACATTAGTACAAATACCTGCTCCCTGGCCCTTTCACTTGTTCATACTGTTGGTGGTGTTGTCTCAGAGAAATGGCTTTTATTTTTTATTTGCTTATGTCTACTGTAAAATTTTCTAGCATCCATAATATTATATTTTCTAATCTCTATTGGGGTCAAATGATGTTTATACATGTTGAGAACTTTGATATAGTCAGTTTTGCTTCAAGTAAAATAATACCTTCATTCAGTCACTTGCAAAGTAGCATAAAGCACAGTGATTTGCCATGTAATGGTAAAACAGCCTAGTACTCACACAAAATACAGTAAACATTTTAAAAAATGAATAGATACTTTTAGCATAGCTTCCTTTTTTGTTTTTGTTTTGTTTTGTTTTTTCTTTTGAGACAGAGTCTCACTCCACCACCCAGGCTAGAGGGCAGTGGCACGATCTCGGCTCACTGCAACCTCCGCCTCCTGGGTTCAAGAGATTCTCCGCCTCAGCTTCCCGAGTAGCTGAGACTACAGAAGCCCACCACCACGTCCAGCTATTTTGTTGTTGTTGTTGTTGTTGTGTTTTTTAGTAGAGATAGGGTTTCATCATGTTGGCCAGGCTGGTCTCAAACTCCTGACCTCAGGTGATGCGCCCACCTCAGCCTCCCAAAGTTCTGGGATTACAGATGTGAGCCATCGTGCCTGGCCTCAGCACAGTTTTCTGCAACACTTGTTTATTATAAAGAGCTATGTGTAAATTTTTCATTATATGCCTGTAGCACTTAGAAAATAAAAGAACAATAGTTACATGTTTACCGCCCAATTATCCAATACTGTATATATTTTTTGAAGTATTATCTATTACCTAATGGTTCACACTAGTTATGTTTTTGGATTTAGCAAATAATTAATTTCAAGGACATTTAGGGAGTACTCTTCGCTTTATTTTTCTTTACACCAGTGGGAATTACGATGATTCTGATGTGATTGCTTCAATGCCCCTTCACCCTCAGCTAAAGCAGAGGGCTGTGGAATGAGCACTTTATGTGGAGTCAAGGCAGCTGGCCTGTATTCCAGTCTCACTCTCTGCCTTCGAGTGTAAACATAAACTAAAGTCACTCTATACCCTGAGACCTCCCCAGCAAAAGTGAAATGTCAAGCTGCACGAACTCCCAGGTCTTTACTTTCATTTTCAGAGGAATAACATATTAAATATATTTGCACACAATTGAACAAAAATTTAATTTTGTAAATAGTAAGTCACCATCTTGCTATTAATAATTCCCTCTCTTTCTCTAAGAAAAGCATTTTTTTATTAAGTAAAATAAGCTTTTAATTCATAACTTTGGATGTGTAGGAATTGCACGTTTTTATACTTTTATCATTTACTTTTTCCTTCAAATTACCATTTCTCCAGCTTTGCAGGAAACTTCACTTCCATGACTCCTGAAGTCATTCTCTTTCTCATTTTGAGGCCTTATGTTATGCCCATTCATTGGAAGGAGGTATTGGCCATATAGGTCCAACAAAATTATTACCACTGAGACATGTTTTGTTAATTTCATGAAAAAGTATACATAAAATAGAGAAAGAAGAAAACAAACTAATACAAGTAATAAAACACTAGTATTGCATTGATGTCAAAATTAAAGAGTAAGTGAAAAATAAAAATAATATTATTCACTAATTTTACTAATTAGTGAATTAGTAAAAATACTAATTCAGTGAACCTAACCATACATTTTTAAATGACAAATGTAAAAATTGCTTGTCTTTAATATCATAAATATATTATTAGTCAATTATTATCAAATTAATAATTAAAGAAAAATTACTTCAAATATTAAAACTATTTGAAAAATGTAAAACACCTGTGTATGAGTGTGTGTGTATTAGTAATCAAAACAACATTTCTCTAGCCAGAAAATGGTAACTACCAAACTGTAAATAGCATTTTTCATAGTGAAGCTTTAGATTTATTTTCTTTAATATCAGAATGAATGTCTACTAGCACCATTTCTTAGTCAACATTGTATTTGAAATCCTAATAAATACAATTTGAAATAAAGCAAGAAAAATATGACATATAAGGATTAGAAAGAAGGTAACAAATTTCATGATGTATTACCCATATTATTTCCAGAGAAACTATCCAAAAGTTGTTTACTCAATCTACTGAAATTAGTAAAATTTCAAATGAAATTTTGAAAAAGCTCAATATATAAAACTAGCAACATCCCTTATTCTTTCAAAAAAATTTGAATATGTCATTAAAAAGTATTTAAATTCCAATAACCAAAAAAACAAAAACATTTGGAAGGTATTTTGGGATAAATTTCATGACACATATGAACGATTACAAAAGCAAAAACTCTATAAATAATCTTTGAAAACATGAAAATGTTTTTAATAACTGCACAGATATTTTATGTTCTTAAATAGAAAGATTTATTTTTGAATTAATTTTTTCCCAATTTAATGTCAGAAAAATATCAAGAATATTTAATAACTTAAGCTGATTGCCAAATTTATATGGATGAGTAATGCAGCGATAAAAGCCAAGATAATTTTGAGGAAGTAGAGCCAAGAAGGACATAGTGGAGAAGATAGTGGAGAAGGAGTGAAAAAAAGAAAGTGGAGAAAAGGGTGAAGGAGGGAAGAGAATAATAAGAAACAAGAAATGAAAAGAGAAAAGATGAAGAGAAAAAGTAATATATAGGAGGAGAAAAAAGGAAGAGTGTAAAAAGTGGTAATAGTAACATTGAACATCTGCTACTAACTGTCCATACAAATTATAATACTACCACAAATTAAGGAACATATTGAAACAGGGAGAAACAATTAAAATAATAGAAATTATTGGAATATCCTTATATACAGTTGTTTATTTATATATATATATATATATATATATATATAGTTGTTCATATATGTATAGTTGTTATATGCCAAAGTGGTATTACAACTAAGTAATGAAAGGGTGTATTGTTTAATAAGTTGGAATGGGACAATTGATAATTCATTTATTTTTTAAAAATCTATCAAATAATACTCAGAAAAAAACACAGATAACTATAACTTCCTGATAGGAGACATAAAGCACACAGAAGAAATTTAAAAAGAAAAAACTTATTAGAATATGTAGAAAAATCAATTTCACAAACAGCATATGTAAAATTTTATAACAAGACATTTTAGCAATATCTAGTATTAAAATGCAAATATCTAGTATTAAATCTCAAAATAAATTAAGCAATTGCATTATGCCTTATATGTCCTAGAGAAAGTTAACAAAGGCACAAGGATAGTTGAGAAAGAGAGTTGACTGTAGCAATTTTTTAGCAAAAGAAAAAAAGGTGAACGATTTAAAATGCCACTCAAAAGGAGAATGAATGAGTAAATTGTACAATCATTGAAATATTAAGCAAGAAATGTTAAGATACTAGTTGTACAAAAATTAATATGACAAATCTGTATTTTTATGTGAGAAAAACAAGGGAGAAGGGATATAGTAAGATATTATTTCTATAAATTAAAGATATAAAATTGATGTTTTATAGCGATACGTGATTTTATGGTAATATTTTACTAATATAAAGAGAAGAATGAACACCTAATGTGAGATATTTGTTTTCTCTTAAGAATGGATGATGGAGAATAAGATCAAAAGGATGACTTCAGGTGTGTCTCTAAAATTTATTTCTCAAAAACCTAAATTCTGAAACAAATATGACAAATTATTAATGTATAGGGAGAGTACCTAGGTGCTTCCGTACTTCTATATATATTTGATATATTACCTAATGAGAATATTTAAAATGATTTATGTTTCCACGTGTATCAAGAAGAATATTAAACAAGCTTTTCAAAGAGTTTTCAAGAATTATTAGACCATGAAAGTTATATTTGGTTCTTCAAATGTTCATTGACCCAAATTAAATTACAAATGCCATTGCTTCAGCTTTCCATTCAACCATACTCTTTTAGTGTTCTAGTAATCAGCAGGTTAAAAGAAGACAACCTTCTTCCTGCAACAAGTATTCTCAGAGTTCCAACAAAATGTAACTTGTTATAAAACCCAAACTGACAGGAAATGTGAACAGAGTGCACCAAATTTATTTTAGGCACTGAGCATATGGGTCAATGCTTATTTGCATGACTGTCAACAAAACAGTTCTTTGTTGCTACTCATAACTTTCATGTATTCATTGTCTTTTAATCAAATTGAATCTACCCTTAGTCATTCACCTTTCTTCTTTATCATTATCAATTAATATTTTTGAGCTCTTTGAACTGTTTCACTTTGTATTGAATTTTTTGATAATGAGTAACAAATTAAGTCCTGAGTATTCCCTTTAAAACTTGATATTCACATTCTCATTTGTCTTCAAGAGCCGTCCAAATCTTGTCAGTCTGCCTGTTTTTTTCACAATTAATTCAAAACTTGTCCATGCATAAGTTGTTCTACAGCTGATCTGAGGACGTGAGCTGTCATCGTAGATCAGTATAATACCTGTCTTTAAGTTTACCTTGGTTTAAGGATATTTTTTGCCACTGTAAGTAAGCAAACAATGAGAAGAGGGAGGAGTTTGGAGGCTGATCATTGGATAATGCTTGGGGAATTTCATGGAAAATGAGGTCTATGGATAATTTTGTAAACACTGTTTTCTGCATGTAATCTTAAATGTCTGTGGAAAATTTTCTTCAGTAAATTTTCTTCAGTATATCCTTTCTTGCATCCCAAAGAAGACTGTTGCCTACCTGTCAAACATATATCAGCCATGATATAATGGCAGAAATCATATATTTCCTTCCTCCTGTAGGAGGAAGGAATTTTCTAGAGCTCTCATTCTTGAGCGCAAATTCTCAATGCTAGTTTTTGGCTCCATTTTTGCACATATATATTTAGCAGAATGCCAAAGTATACAAATAGATCCCATTTTTAGAGACAATAACCTAAAATGTGGTTATATATGCTTTTGGAAAAGTGCCTAGTACATAGTAAGCACTTAATGCAGGTAAGTTGTGGCTGTTGTTGCTATTCAGTGATTAGTCAATCTTGAGCACATCCTAAGACCCCGACTTGTCTATTGTAAGTCATTTCTAATTATAGTTTTAAGGAAATTGATATATAAATGGTTTATTATATGCTGTATTTTTAAAAAATTCAAAACCACATTTACTCCCTATAATGAATGATTCAAGAATAAAAGTAATGATATTCACAAGTGAGTCTTAATGCTTTCTCTGCTAAACCAAACCCAAGAATATTCCTTCATAGACCTCTATGAAGAGGAACACTACGATTGTGGCAAAAAGAATATTCCTTTAGCCTGACCTGAGCAGTCCTTATACAGAAATGCAAAGAAATCTAGAACTCCCTTAAATATGGCCTAAAAGTGAGGACCAGTCAAGGCTCGCCCCAAGAAATAAGAGCTAGACATTTTATTTGAGTTATCTCCAATAATGTTCTGTAAACTATGAATACGAGTAATTTGTAAGCTCTCCTGAGCCTTGTATATACTTCCATTTAAAATGTTACCTATTTTACTATTGAAATAAAAGTTAAAAGCTTTAAGACAAAAAAAAGTGTACAGATATGTTTTTAAGATAGCAAGGACAAAGTTGTTGAGAAAGCTGTGTGACTAGTCTTCCAGGAAAACAACATCAAGGAGATGAGAGTGGTTCCTAGAGAGAGAAAAGCAGGCTGATTATCTGGGGTGGTGGTAAAGAAAGGAAAAAAATAGTTGTTCTAATTTGTACCTAATCTGGAGTAGCCCCAATATGTTGCATTTATATTGTACCTAAAATTAGTTGATATGCTCCCAATGGGTACATGGTGTGTACTGTTTGGATTCCATGAATACCCCATATTTCTTAGGTATTTTTACATATTTAAGTATATATTTCTTATGTAAAAAATAAAACTAATGCTATAGTGCACATGCTATTTTAATACTTTACTTTTATTTAACTTCATTTTGTCTATCATTGAAACAGCACTTAGTGCCTGCATTAATAATATGTAGATAAAGCTTAATTTATTAAAGCTATTTATTATTAATTAAATAAGCATTTAAGGTTGGCAGAACACAGGGTGTCAGTTTAATTTGAATTTCAGATGATCAAGGAATAATATTTTTAATATAAATATGTGCCAAATATCACGTTGAACATACTCATGACAAAATTGTGACAATATATTGTGTGGAACTCTGAAAATTTGTCTTAAATCTTTGGAAAACATCTATAAAAATTATTTCCATTTTTTTTCACAATTTCTTTCATTACTGCCAAAATGTAATTAAAAGGATGGCAAGATTTCTGTCTGCTTTCTTCACTGCTGTATCCCACTGCCTGTCACAGAGGAGACACTCATGAATATTTGTTGTCTGAATGACATGAATTGGGTTGAACTGTTTTTAGGTGCTTCACATTCATTTGTATTGTTTTCTTTAAACTGTCTCAAACACCTTAAACACATTCTTCCACCAAAAAAATTAAATTAAAATATTTAATATCTATTCACAACCAGGGAATCAAAAAATTGTCAAGGCAAGTCTCAAATAGTAGAGAGCTTTACCGTGTGTTTTTAGGGAAGTAATCATTAATAATTACTAAAGAAGGCCACAATAACCATCTCAAAGAGTTATAAGAAATGTGATGTACAAATTTAGAAGAAAGAACATCTAATTCTGGTTGGAGAATGGCAGAGGTTTCACAAGTCTGGATTTGTAAGTGGATCTTAAAACAATGACAAATTCACAAGTTAAAGAATTTTCCAACAGGTTAAAGAAAGGCATAAACTCCTGACAGGGCAAGGTCTATTCAGGGAATAGAGTGAGACCCAACTTATCTGAGATGTAAGGTAAAAGGACACAGTTATTGAAAGATGACGCTGGAAGAAAGGATGAGACTAGACTAAGGAAATGTATTACTAGTGTGAAGATAATCACATGTCAAAAAATAACATCGGCAGAAGGAATGAAATTCTCTCTATATTCATAAGCCATTAATACCTTGATAGGCAAAGTGGAAACCATGAGCAAAATTTGCTTTTACTAAGGAGGAACATCTTCCACTGGGGTGCTCCATTTTTTAATCATGTCCCCAAATTCCATAGCAATGATATCCTTACCATGATCCTTCAATGCCTGTATTTTACTAGGAGCCACTTGGAAAATGTTTCCCTCAGCAACATAAGCTTAGGAAAAGTATAAGGATTGATGTATTTAATTTGCATTCCACTTGTAACACAATATGGCCCTCTGCTTTTAAAGAAGCACTGACAGTGTGAAACATAATATTACTTTGTGTTATAGAGGCTAGTGATGGAGTAGGGCACTTTTAACTCAGAATTCCAGAGCTTTTGTTAAAACATGGTTCATACTTCACCTCATTTTGATATACAGGATGGAAATAAAATTATATGTCAGTATTAGAGTTTTGCATTAAATTGTATATATTTTTTGCCCCCATCATATCTTTCTGCAAGGGGGATAGATTTGTAGAGGACAGCATTTTTCTCATTTGTGGCATATCTGCACAAACACAATATATAATTTTCAGCAAGAATATTATTTCATGTGAGGAAAAAAAATAATGCCCTGGGTTATTATTTCAACTCGCAAGTCTGGATGCTGTACTTTGATATTATTTATTTGAAGTTTATGTAGCATATATTACTTGAAATTTGAAAGCGGCTTTATTAATTCTAACAGTCAAAGCATTCTAAGCTAAGAAAAGCTGTCCTTACACTTAGTTGAATGCTCAAGCACAAAATTATTAAAAAACATCATGTGCACAAAATGCAGCGGTAAGCTGATTTGTGTGCACAAGAGGGCTGTTTGTCCTCAAAAGTACATTCTTAAATAAGATGAGAGTTGGAAAGAAAAGGCAAACAGCACCTTGAAGTAAAAGAACAGGAGCAGATGTCCTTTAGCTGTGTGTTTTATTGATTTATAAACACTCAGTCAGGGTCCCTCATCTCTGCAGAGTAATTTAGATATGGGAAAATATCTGTGAAATATATTGATTGTGTTATTGATTGAAAAGCCAATTGCTGTTGCACTCCTGTTTTACCATTTAAGTCCTGACACATTTTGACATATGAGCCAGCTGTGACTACTGCCTCGATTCTGCAATAAGATAATGTGAAAGCTGTCATAACCACTTCTCTGTCAGCCTTGAGTATTTACAGCCTGGTGGTGCTGCTATTTAGCTTGCTCTTTAACTACCTGAATAATGAGGATTTGTTAAAGCTCTTACTCTAGCATTGTGTGTGTTTGCATCGGGTGTGTCTTTATGTACACACAAACCCTTGCTAGTTTTTGTTTCATCTTGTAAACTGCAACTTGATGACATTTAAAAAAATACAGAAGGATCCACCTTCTTAGTATCTTATTTAATCTATGTACACAAGAATGAATGAATCTGAGGATATAATTTTCTCTTTTTCCATGGGAAATTTTGATTTTGAAACATTTCTCAGGGTAATTTTTACTTGTTTAGGAGATTATTTTCTACCCAGTAGCAATACAGAAAGAATGGGAAAAATCCACTTATTTTAATTTACCAATTTGTTATTTGGGATATTTGGTAAGGGAAATAAAAGATAATTTACATGAAAATTCTCAATATCCTTGACTTAAAAAAAAAAACTAGTTTCTGAACCTTATCTATAAAAGCTCATAAAAATTCATATAAACACATCTCCAAAAGGTATGCTTTAAAAGATCTACATTTATAACAGAACTCATTAGATGATTGAAACGACAAATACTGTTTCCTGCTTCTAGTCACATAATCATATTGTGCAAGAAAAACTCCTCTAAATCACCCTTTAGATGTATATAGTCAATATGGATCTTTTCCAAATCAGGCTGTTTAAATGTATACTATACATTATTAAAGATGATGTCCATAATATTCCTCTTATATTCCAATGCATCTTCTCATTGTCACACAATCTCTGATTAATCACAAGCAGCATGTTGATATGTTCTTTCCCAGTTTATTTAAAAGCATCCCTCAATTTATGTAAACCAATGAAACACGTCCATTGTAAGGGAGCAGTGCTGATGGAAATAGCCTGGGAACAATGCTCCATATGATAAGGATGGACAGCAGATCACTCCTCTGGGAAATGAAAATGTTCATTTAACAGTATGAATGGCACAGCATTCTGGCAAATGACTGACATATCAGCAGTGTTAAGCCTTAGACTTGAGATTGATTTGGATCCAACCTCAAGAAATTCAACATTTCTTTTCAATGTAGAGCCTTGCTGTAAAGTGAAATCCTTCAGAAGTATATTTTTCAGTCTCAATATCACACTCTAAAGTAAATTCCATCTTCATATAAAATTACAGGCAAGCTTTTATGTAAGTTAAAAGATGAATAAAAAATTCTGAAAAGGTAAAATCTTTAGTCCAAAGGTGCAAGAGACTGCTTTACAATCTGGCACCAGTTAAAAGAAGGTGAGAGACAGACAAACTGGCTGTCATGGCAGGGTTGCACATTACCTGCAGTGTGGAAAACCAAACTCTGATGCTGGAGTAGCCATTCCTGCTGAGACCTTATTTCTGTAACTACACGCTTTCTTTCCGTCTTGTAGGTAGGATTAGCATGAGACCCATTCAGGAGATTCTGTGTCGTATAAGTTGTTCCTGAACCTTAGTGTGCAATGTAATTACCCGGAAATAGGTTGAATATGCACATTCCTGGCCTAACCCCAAGTGATTTTGGTTTAATAGGTCTAGAATAGGTACCAGAATAGGGTCTTATTAAAAATAAACTTTTAAATTTGAACTTACTTTACACTTGTAGGAAATTCATAAAATTGTACTGAGTCCTTTTATTTCCCTCACTTTACTTCCCATAGTACTAACATTTTGCATAAACGTGGTACAATTTATGATATTAGAAAATTGTCAGTGGTACAATATTACTGATCTACAGAGTTTATATGAATTTCACCAATTTTTCCATTTATGCCTTTTTCTGTGCCAGGCTTCCACATTGCATTTAGACATTTATCCTTTTCTCCAATCTGCAACAGTTTCTCGGTAATCTTCTCTTAATTAAACATTTTAGGTCTATATGATATCAGCTGATTTGCAATAAAGTTGGAGAAGATCCAATTAGAGGATCTTTGTCTATCATATGCAGAATTCCAGGGGAAATTCCCTGGAATTCCCCTGAATTATTATAGATACTATTATTTCTATGGATTGGTTACAGTTGTCTTGGATACATATAACTTCTCCCTTTTCCTTTTGCTTATCTTTTGGTATAAATCCTACAATATGCTTTTATTTGAACAGGATTTGTACTCCACAAGTACAGCTTTACTGAGTGGGCTGTCATTATGCTGGACTGTAATCCATTGACGTTACATTTCTGAATTGCAGATACATGTGATGCACTACTCTGCCATTTCATGAGTTGGCTTATTCAGGTGGTTCATATAAAGCTGATTTTATAGAAACATTTTTGTGCACTTTGCCTGTGTCTCACTGCTCTAGACCTGTATTCATGTCTCAAATGTATCACTCAGTTTTTGAATAAGCTTGGATAAATATCTATCCTTTCTGCTTCTTATTTCCTAACTATAAAATGGAGAGCCTGCAGTGGGATCACACCTGTGAACAGCCGTTGCACTCCAGCCTGGGCAACACAGCAAGACCCCATCTTGAAAAAAAATAGGGAGCCTAACATTGCCATGGAATTGTAGCTCTCAAGGAGACCTTAGATAGCGTTGAGTACAAAGCACCAATTTAACATGTAAAAAAATTGAGACACAGTAAGGGTATGAACATACTAAGGTCAGCCATCCATTACTGAGAAGAAAAAAAGTTAAACCTCAGGTCTCCCTACAGATTTGAACTTTTTCCATAATCCCTATGTTCTAATGTACTGCACCATTATTACTCTTCCAACATTCTCTCAGAGGAAAGGGATCCCTCCTTCCAAGGTTTGTCTCTGCCTCTACAAGAGATTCTCATTCCTCCAACTTTGATCTCTTTATGCCTTCTTCTCTGTCTCCAAGTTTGTCAAGTTTTGTTGTTTTCCTTTAGCAAATGACAACAATAGTAATAAAATAACAATAAAAAAGAAATATTTCCTACTATGAATTATTCATACCATTGCATTTTCCATTTGTCCCCAAATCTCTTGAATATCTCTGCTTCCTTAAAATTTACTTACTCTTTATCCCATCTTATTCTGTCTTCTTCCTTATTTACTGGAACATCACTTATTCATACCACTGGTGGCCTACACATTTAAACATTCAAAGGCTTTTTTTTTTCTTTTGCTCTTCATCTTTCTTCACCTCTCCAAAGGAATTAAACTGTTAACCACATACTACTTCTTGAAACTATGATCTCTCGGCTTTTCTAGTACTCCTCTCTCCCTGGTTATCTGTTCTTTCCAGCTGTCTTTCACACTGGTTTATTGTTCTTCACCATTTTTTAAATATCATCATCCATCTGGCTACATTATTTTATAGTCATTGGTAATACACTGACTAGGTGTTGGTCTTAGTTTGTGTGCCAGAAATTCAGCTCCTTCACCCTTTTTTGTCTGCTCAGTGAAAATGGATTTGAGCCTTTTAAATATTTTTTCTTTGCCAATTGGTGTGATATTAAGCCGTGTCAGTAGAGGGCACTGGAGTGACATTTCAGAAGAAAAGGGTTTTTCTTACTGGCTCAGTGCTTATTGAGAAGGCTCCTGCAACCAAGTTGGCTTCTCCAGTGTCCAGCTTCTGTGGTGTCCTCAACTTTCCCAGGGCCCAGGGCCTAGGTGTGGGGTTTGTTTTTTGGCAACAGGCTCCTGCAGTCCATGCAGATTCTTCAGCACCCAGCACCCACAGCACTGACTTCTTTGGTATCCAGTTCCTGTGGTGAACAGCGGCCAGCAACATCCATCAGTCAGCAATGTCCCCTAGCAACTCTCTAGGGTGATTTTGCAGCAGGATACCTCTAATAAGACACCTCCCTGTGAACAGCTTTTCCCAGAACTCTAGATGGCCGACTTCTCTGCCATTCAGTGAGCCGGGGTTGTACCCTCCCTAACAAGATCTTGATCTCAGCCTGGGGAACTTCTGCTTGAGTGTTGTAACTTAGCCCTATGGGTAGTGACTCCTTATACCTATTCCTAGAAATTTTACATTTCACTGGACTTCTTCCTCATCAACTCTTTATTATTCTATGCTCCTATTATAATTGATAATTCTTTACATTAAATGTTTTCTCTTCAAAGTACTGAGTGGTTTCTCTCTCCCATTTGCACTCAGTATGTTACAGCTTTCCCATTGTCATACAATCTGGTTTTCCCAGAGAGCACTGCCATAGATAATGTTTTACGCGCTACTACTTCTATTATGAAGTAGAATTCTAAGGAAATAACAGTGAGGGGAAGGGGAAGTGAAATAAAGAAGGAGAAAGAAGATGGATTTGTAATAAAGCTGGAGGTAGCCATTGTTAACACATGTGCCTTTGATGCGTTAGTAGATTAGTTTGGACCATGTTTTGAAAGTCTGTGTGAACTAATGGGAGTCTATTTGGAGAAAGAAGAGAAAATAATTTATTTGCTGGCTCTTGACTTTCGCTGATCACTGTTTCCCTTCACAGTGCATTAGGTTCCCTGTACTAACTGTGTGTGCAAGGGTGCCAAGCAGATCCCTCCTGTTGTCTCACACACAGTGCCAAAAGGGATGTCTTGAAGCAATAGGGTAAAGATACAAGGTGTGGACTCGAGGAGCAGTGCCTGCATAAGAGTGCTCAGTGCCCCTGCAGCCCTTATGATTTTAGTGGTGATTTGGGTGAAACAAGTAGCCGGGGTCCCAGAAACAAATAAGAATGAAAGTATGTGAAGAGGCACATATAATCCAGTGTACTTCACATAGAATCTTATTAATGTCTGTGACTTGAACTACATTCTACAAGTAGATGAATCTCAAGTCTCTATCCTACCTGCACTTTCCCTCCTGAGAACCAGGCTATACCTGTCCTTACAAATGGTTAAACAACAAACATGTGTGAATGCCTCACAAGTGCTATCTTACAAATGCTGTAGCTTGGGTATGTGTAAAACTGAATTCAGGCCCAGCGTGGTGGCTCACACCTGTAATCCTAGCACTTTGGGAGGCCAAGGCGGGAGGATTGTCTGAGCTCAGGAGTTCGAGACCAGCCTGGGCAACATGGTGAAACCCCATCTCGACTACAATACAAAAAAATTAGCCAGGCATGGCGGTGTGCACCTGTAGTCCCAGCTACTCGGGAAGCTGAGGCAGGAGAATTGCTTGAACCTGGGAGGTGGAGATTGCAGTGAGCCGAGATCGCACCACTGCACTCCAGCCTGGGCGACAGAGTGAGACTCCATCTCACCCCCACCAAAAAAAAAAAAAAAAAAAAAAAAACAAAAAAAAAAAACTGAATTCAATTTAATATTTTCAAAACATACTATACCTAATATCTTTAATCTTAGTTAAGAGGGTCACTATCCATTTTTTCTTCTAAGATGGAAGCTTTGATTTTCCTTGGGATATCACTCACTGTCTTACTGATTCAAATTTAATTGCTCACTAAACCTTTTTTCATTTTCCTTTAGAAATGTCTCTCAAACTAGCTTCTATTTTTATTGTCACTGCATGCTCTTATCCCAGGTTTATTCTCATAACCCTCTCAAATTATTGCAGCAATGTCTACCGCAGCCCCTCTCTAACCCCTTCAACATGATTATTATCTTAAAAAAAATAACTCTGTTACTTCTGTACTTTAAAACCCACCTTGGCTGCCCATTGGCTACAGACCAAAATCCAAATTCTTGGCATGCAAAGTCATTCATTGTACACCCCCAATTCATTGTGCATCCTAAAGCCACGATTTCTTCTTACACTCACTCTCCTCTCCACCCAGCTTCTTTTCCTGTATGATGTTTTCAGGCTTCTGCCTTACTGAACTTTCCAACATATGATGAATATTCCCACATTTTCAAGTTTCAGGACTTATGCAAATGTTTTTCCTATTGCTTAGAATAGGGAAAGAATCCTACTTCTCATAAAACACAGACTAAATGGCACCTCTTCAGTAACTTTCCTACAAGTTAAGTGTTCTCTGAGCTCCCACAGCACATTTCTTTATTATTCTAAAAGGATTTTCATATTTTATGGTAATTTATTTGTTTTTACACCTGTATTACCTACTATATTGTGATATTCTCAAGGGCAGCGACCATGTATTATTCATTCTTGTATATCCAGCACTCAGCATAGCACTTGTGCATAAACCTCCCAATAAATATGTGTTGAATTGAATTTAAAAGAAATCATAGATGTAAAAGTATGTACGGATAGTATTATCAGCAAAGCAGCATTTCACTATGGCATGATATACATCTAATTTTGTACTTGCAAGATTCTGTGTTGATGCCGTAGACACTTTGTCAACCATCCAAAAAGCAGCAGAGCTTTTTGCCAATGAGCAACGGCAGTGTATGTTGACAGTTTATTTCGGTACATTATATGGCACTCAACCAAAATTGAACAGCAAGAAAAGATGGAAAGAAAATGACTATTTTCTAGGCCTCCATCACTGTAGGTAGGACTAAATGGATTTCATGATGTTCATGTGCCTTGGTTTGCATCAACCCTTATGTGTAAATCAAATTGATCGTCCTAAGTTGTTTGGCCTGAGACTGTCATTCTAAGGCCCACAGTCATACAATGCTATATTACACTCTATTATTGTATACTACATCACAGCACACTGTATCTATTACAGTCATCTCATGTGGAATTACCTCTTTCAAAGGGATGAAACACACCCTAAATTATAATGGCCTCATCACTTGTACTAGCTTTAGTAGAAGAAGCCCTTTTAGCAACCATGTTATTACCTGTGGTATGATTAGAGGTAAGGTAGTATTTCATTCCAAGACTAAAATGTGTTTCAGGAAAAAAATATAGATATTTTAAGATATGTAAGATTAGCTTTAAAATTTACAGAACCATGTTCAAAAGTGGTTTTTTCTCCCTTGGAATTATATGATTATATATATGATGCTAAAGTTGAAGTTAACTTTCAGGCTAATTTGTAGGAAAAAGAGACATGATTTTTCAGATCTTTGCACTATAGATAAGGACACAAAACTTTCTATTCTTCTAGAAATTTTGTATTTTCCAGGCTCAAATATAACAGTCAAAATCTGCCCAATTATTTGGACCTTTTGTCAAACAAATTGTAGAAGTTTATCACTGGCCTATCAGAAATAATTGTGTTTCCTCATCCATTGTCTAGTTGTTAACTTGCTGGTTATGTAAACACCAAAAATGCTCATTTTTCTTTCCTTGCTTTGGCTGGATGAAGCTCAGAGCAAAAAATTGTGGCCTGTATTTAGCAAGAACATAAGTCTTTATACATTGAATATTTCATATGAAGCTTCATCTCAAATTCACCTTAATTTCCTACTGTTTTTTGTTATTCTCTCTCCACCTCCATTTATTTTAATCTATTTTGATGCCAAAATACCCATCTTTTATAAACTGGATTGATCTAATTTTAGGAACAAGATGAAACATAATAAATACATGCAAGAATAAAACTACTTCCTCTAATGAACTGTGTAATTTTTACTCTTTGTCTCTGGTTATTTGCTTGGCTTAATGTAACAGCAGAACTACACGAAAGAAACATCAAATATTCTACTGCAGTGGCTTTTAATGTATCAGCATAACCTGGGAAAATATCTTTTTAAGTTTTAAAGTAATCGTTCCTTTATGTGCCACCCCTGAGAATTTTGACTCGAGTCTATGGGACCCAGTTATTTATACCTTTTGGACAGCTTCATAGATGAATCTAACATATAGATAGATAGATAGATAGATAGATAGATAGATAGATAGATCCCAATTTTCAAAACTGAGTATTTGAGGAAAATAGGGTGAATCACCATTTGAAAATTAAAAAGAAGATATAAACTTATATATATGTATATTTATGATAGATAGGTGGTATAGATGATGATAATGAAGATGGATAGATGGAAAGCCAGTTATTAAAATAAGGAAAAGTAAAAACGAAACAACAGAAGATAGAATAAATATATTAATTCAAATTGATAAAGGACTAGCAAAAGTTGCTCTATGTTGGAAACACATTAGGTATGTATAATAGTTTGAAAGATTTCTGAAAAACAATCACTCCTCCCTTCTATTTACAGACCATCATGATAGGTCAATAAATGCTATATTGGAGCACTTAGCAGGTGCTAAGGACTGTAAGAAGTATTTTATAACTTTTACCTCATTTCATGCTGGGATTACCCTTTGAGGTAAGTATGATCATCATCACTTTTCGGATTAGCAAATTGAGAACTTTGAACATCTGTTCATAGTTTTAGGTAGGAGGTGGCAGACCCTGAATGTAGGTCCACATCTGTCACTCCCAAACCTGCAGGCCTGGCTACCATGATCACAGTGCTACTTCAATATATCTGTTCTTTCACCTGATAGAATTCTGAATAATTCCAAATGAGCCCCTTTACGTTTTCTTAACTTCAAATACGGCAGGAGCCATCACTTAGAAATATGTAAGAGTTTACAGTTACTATTTCTTGAAGTTGGGAAAATCTAGGTAAACACTCGACTACTAATGAGGTCAGTGACCATGAAGGTTTTTAAGTTTTAAATATTCTAACATGTTATTTGAATAAATGGCACGGTAGCTTTTTTAAGATTAATGGAGCATATGCCCAGATTCCTTTGATCCTAGATTCATTAACCCATGCCTCACTGATTTTTACTCAGCATTTCTATCCAGAGAGAATTATACCTTTAAAAGCAATGATGCATGTAAGCTGATATTCCATAGAGTAAAAAGGCTACACTTGAATTTGTTGTTGTTTTTGTTGTTCCCGAATGTTCTTTCCACCTGAATTTATGGTATGCATTTGGTCTCACATATTTTTGTAATATTAGAGTTGGTTTATGTTATTTTTAAAATATTTAACCAGGAATAAAAATGTATCTAGAACATTCAATATTTTATGTATTTGGTAAAAATGGTTTGTAGTACTTTTAATTCTATGGCAAGCATATATGTCTATTTTTAGAAATGCAGTAGCTAGTTTTGTTTACTATAGGGGATAAATTAATTATTTACTATATTTACTTTTCTTTGCTAATTTTGAACTGTGTTATATACAATTTGATAATGTATACCTTTTAAGTATTGTCCTTAAACTGAAAAAATTTAGCTTGTAAAATAAAGTCTTAAATGTTAAAACTAAAACTGTGTGTACATCGTGTGCCTGAAATGAATAGGTCCCAGATTTTTTATTCAGCCAGCTTTCCTTGAACATGTGGGGCAATTTTATTGTCAACTTTGGGCTGCTTGGATGTATTCACTTTAAATAGGAAATCAACTGAGTTTTGAATTTCATAAAACATGATGGGTCTCTGAATATTCTACTTATGTTGGAAAGATCCCCATAAAAGCAGAGCAAGGTAACTACATTCAATGGGAATTACGAAAAAGGCAGAGCTGTCATTATGGGGAACCAAAGCAAGTAGCTAATACCAGATACTCTTTGTATTTCCAAATACTTCCTATTAAATGTAAATATGCTAAAGGAGTTTGAAAGAGTACTTTGGCTAGTACTTGTTAATGCATTAGGAGGGAATCTTTTATCAATTTTACTGACTTTAGAAAGTGTGTCCTGTGGTCCAAATATCTCTGTGAATCTCCATTCTCTACTCTTACTACCAGTAGAAAAAAATGGGTACAATTAGTTTGAGTACTCACCTGGGCTAAACATTGTGCTTCAAATTCTTAACATACATTATACTGTATAATTTCCATAACTATCTTATGAGATAAGTGTTCTTTCCCCGTTACAATAATGAAGAACCTGAGGCTCAAAGAGGTAAATCTAAGTGCCCTAGGTTAAAGAGCTGGTAGATGACAGAATCGTGGATTTGAACCAAGGATTCAGATTCCAAAGTCCGTGCCCTTCATTACTCCTGCAATATTTATCTCCTTCTCCTTCACAAACAGAATTCCTCCATTGCCAATGGATTTATTAGAAGCCAGCACGCTTATATTTCTGCATTCTTCTTTCTATTTATTTTATTGATGAAACATTATTCTAAGAATATCAACTATTGCAGATAAATCTCTTCCGGAGTTTAGAACTAGTTCATCAATTCTAGCTTATTCCATTAGCTAAAAAGTAGGCTTGCTTTGTGGTCCCGTGTTAAGACTACCTCGAAATGTGAAAGATCTCTATGTCTCACACAGGTGTAGAAATTTGCGGAAAGGCAGTAATGTCATTTTGGCAGTGTATCATCCTGAATCAGAAACTAAAGCATGCAAACTGAAATTGATTTGTAACAGGTACCTTATTAGAAGCAAACATCAAGAAAACTAGAATCAATGTTGAAACAAAAATTTGTCTTGTAAGCAATCCTGAGTGAAATGTGCTGACACAGCATCACATTCTGTAGCCCCATTTTTGCATGCTTTTCAAAGCACAGCTATCTCAGGCTGAGGGAGATGAATAATTGACTGATCACTGCATAATTCAACATAGTGTTGTAAAAATTCAAGGTCTAGCAAATTTGAAGCTTTTCTTTTTTATTGAGACTGAGGTTAAAGTTTCAATCAACCTTGAAGAAACATTTAAATAGCACAAGGATATATGATTTATTAAAGTGCATATTATTCTTTCTTATATTCCCTCCTTCTTCATTAAGCTTCCTCACATAACGCATATATAAAGTTAAAAGAGTATCTATAAGGATTAGTGGAACTCCGCCTGTAGTGACTTCAAAAGCACTAATATCATCAATGTCTGAACGCACTTATCAAGCAAAGAAACTCAAATAAATTGCTTTCTATATGTCCCATTATATTTTTATTTGTGAAATATGCTGAGTTTTATCTAGTATATTCTAAAATTTCTGTGAAAACATCATCATCAACAACAATGCATGGAGTTATTTTTCATCCAATCCATTTTCCTAGGAATTATTATTATTACAACCCAGACACTCTCTTCAAACCCAGAATATAAGTTGAAAAAGATAAAAACAGAGGCCTTGCCAAAAAAGGAGAAAGCAATCAACTTTGACAGGGAAGTACCAAAAGAGGAAAAAGCTGCTTCTGTTTAATTAAGTGGAAGAGATGTTAAGAATTATTGGGGATTACTTTAAATTGGATTATATTTATTTTCAAATAAAGATTACATTTTTAATTTTCAAGATTATTAAAATTCTACCTATTTAATTTATCTCAAAAAATTCTGAAAAAAATCCTTCATATTATGCTTCATATTAACTCTTAATAATTATTTCATTACCTGAATTGACAATTTTATAGGTATCCTAAGAAACATTTAGAAATTATTTACCTTTGGATATTTCTAAGAGATATATAAATTAAGAATCAGTTTTTGTACAAAAATTTGGTTTGGGTACAATAAGATATTTCTGATATGTGAAAGATGCATTTTATTAATTTACATATATTAAGAAAGTTTTTTTTAATTATACTCAATGTAAATTGGAGAAAACAGGATGAATGGCAAGTTTTCTGTGAACAGAAGCAATTGATTTTTGCATCACAAGTAGCCTTCATAATAAAATAACCAACTTTAAACCGAAGTATTTAAGAACATTTAGTTCAATCCTGCATACTTAAATAGGATAAGAAGTTCAGCATAATTATACTAGCATGTAACCAGACTGTAATAATTGTGCAATGTATAACCACGATATGACATAAAATAAGCAGAAAACAGGCATGTTATTTTAGAAAATCTGACAGTCTCACTGGGGAGCAAAATGTTAGTATATAAAGCAATTAACTAACAAGCATAATGATTTTCTATTTCCCCTTTCTAAATAGTTTTTCCAAACCCTAAACAAACACTATTATGGCATAATGTCAAAGAAGAATTATAAAATAAAGTGAACAACACAGCTTAATAAATTTTCATGTTTCAGAAAGTGATTTAGGAGATAAGACACTGTCATTAAGAATTATGAATCTCTTTTAAACATCATCATGAAGTTAGATACAAAACTGAAACGCTCTTCTTTTTCTAGTTTAACTTAAATGCTGAAATCAGTGGAACATATAAGGTCTAAATCAGAAAGTCACATACCCCAGATACTGTTTTTCAACTTCTTCAGTCATATAGATTGCCCTGAATTGCATAAAACATTTTTATCTTGCAACTTACTTAGCAGTTCCTTGGGCTGTCTAATGAACTAAAAGATTATCATTATTGTTAGGTGCACAGGAGTGTAGGCTACATGGCACACACTGTTGATTTGATACCCTCTATGATGACAGTATATGGTTCACCGACTTGGTTAAACAGCACATCAGCAGCAGTGATGGGTGATCAATCTCATTCCCCATAGCATTGCTCCCCAAAGAGTCATTATTGAGAATAAAATGAGAAAAGGCTATCAGAGGGAATCATTGGGTCTATGGCTTAAAAAAAAAAAAAAACTAAGAAAATAAATGAATAAGAAGAGTCTTGGGAAAATGCATTTTTTAAAACCTCGTTATAAAGAGAGGCAAAGGGACTGATTAATATTGTGGAAAATGGCAACTTTATTTTCATACTTACCACAAGTATGCATCATTGTCAAGGACTCAAAGCAGCTTATTATGCTAGCATATTTACATGGAACTTCCATTTCATTACTATATTCATTTAAAAAAATAACTTAAAAGATGCACACAAGGTATCAGAATCTCAACTACCAATGGCCAATACCTGGTACAAATGGAAAACTAAGTTTAATTTTCTAAATTTAAGATTAACATTCTTAATAGTAACATCATATGAATTTTTGTTTTGCTGTTCTATATCAAAGAATGAAAAATCAACAGTGTAACTAGAATAAAAAGCGAATTCTAAAATATAAACTTATTTCTAAAGTGATTTAGTTGAAAAAATCTAATTCTTATTTTTTCCTTTACAACTATACAGGTTGAGAATTTTAATAAACATTCCTAGTAAGGTACAATAACTGGAACTAATATTTTTCCCATGTGAATTTCCCTTATAGGAACTTGATTATCTTGTAAAGCAGAGAAAAATTGTTAGGGAATGTTGTAATTCAGAAAATGAAAATGTTCATTGTAATAACTCACATTTATTTAGTTCTTATGATGTCTCAGTTACTTGCTAAGAATTTTACATAGATTCTCTCATTTAATCCTCATAGTATCTCTGAGGTAGTTTCTATCAGTTATCTGTTTTACACATGAGGAAACCGAGACCTAGAAAAGGATTAAATAGCTTGTTTAAGGTTATAACATTTGTAAGAGTTGGAATAACAAGTTGAAACAAGAGAGACTGACTTTAAATTCTACCTTATTCAATACCATGCATTTTTACTTATCTTGAAAGTTTGCTTCAAATTTGCAGAGAACATTGCTTTTATTTCTAGGAACCAAATTTTCTGAATCTCATGGTAGGAAATATCATTTGGTAAATGAAAGACATAACTTTAAAAAATATTTAAGTTTTACTCACCCTCCCCGCTTTTTGTTTTGTTTTGTTTTTGTTTGTTTTTATTTTTGTTTTTCTATTAAGTTAGTTACTCTCAGTACCGTTACAGAAAACCCTTATCAAAATGTCTTACAATTAGGAAATGTTAGTGTTTTACATAAAAAAAATTAACAAAGCTAGCTCCAGGGCTAGGTGAATTTAACAGCTTCATGACATAACCAGGAGCTCAGGTACTTTCTATATTATCCCATTTGTTTATTTATTTATTTGAGGCAGAATCTCTCACTCTATTGCCCAGGGTGGAGTGCAGTGGTACAATCATAGCTCACTGCAGTCTTGAACGTCTGGGCTCAAGCAATCCTCCCTCCTCAGCCTCCCAAGTTGCAGGGACTACAGGTGTGAGCCATGCCAACCTTCTTCTTTATTATCTATCTTCCCATTCTCCCCAACGTGACCTTCTTAGATACACAAGATGACTCCAGAAGTTCCAGATATATCCAGACATGATAGTGTGCAGCAAAAAAAAAAAAAAAAAAAAAAAAAAAAAAAAGAGACACCTTTCAAAGAGTCTCCTGGAACTTCTCTTATGTCTCTTTGAGCAAAATTTTATTGCATGTCTGTGTCTATACCAGTTCTAAAACAAGAGAATGGAACCACCATAATCAGTAAGCCCTGTATGATTCAGCTCTTGCTAGGAATGGATGAGACCTCTTCTTCCAAAGGAGAAGGCCAACTTATGACAGGTGGATTCCAGAACTAAATTAGGCAACTTTATAAAGAAGAAAGGGCAGAAAGAATGTAAATAATTGTAGTGTCCAATGAAAAATGGCATATAGATTAAGAGCATGGATTGGATTTAAACAGGTTGGATTCATATTATTGTGCCGTAATTTGTAAGTGATGAAGCTATGTGGCCTTTTGAAAATTTCTTAGTCTCTCTGTGCCTGTCTCCTCTCTTGTAAAGTAAAATCCATAACAGTAACTATTTCCTAGAGTAGTTTTAAGGTTGAAATGTGTTAAAATGTGTATAGCACTGAGAACAGTGCCTAGCCCATATGATAGCATCTACGTCTGAAATTTCCAAACGTATTTTAAAGCTCACATTATAGGAGTTAGTAGTTTCTGGTCCAGCATGTTAGCAGCTTGGAAGACACTGCTCCATTCTCACAAGTAAAAAGCTGAACAAACCAAAAAATCAACAACTTTTCTTAGATCCATCAGAGAAGTGAATTCGCAGGGCAATCTGATGCTCCCCAAATTGAAGAGGCAGACAGACTGATACTGAGAATCACAACTTACCAGAGCTGAAACCCATAGGCAGAAACTTCTGTGGTAACCAGTGCAAGGTAGGAAAATCTGAATCCTAATTCATGAATTGATGAAGTCTCAGTATAGACAAATCTGATTATTTAAAACTCTAGGGGACCCAGTCATGGGGTTGGGTGGGGGGGGGCTCATATTTTTGTTACTATACTACATTTCCAGTACAATGTAATATAAAGACTTATTCTGAGGACTTTTAGGGGATAATATGAATGAAGATTCAATCATCCAGAAAGCTATTGTGTGCTATAATCAGATTTATTATCCTTTATAAATTTCATTATAACTTTAGAAAAGATCATTTGAGTTACTAGATTTGGTTGTGTAACAAATGTACTGAAAATTCTTATGACATTTGCTTTAAGTTATATAGTTTCTGCTTGTTTTCACTGTCTTAAAACACTGGAGTGGTGAATGAAACAGATCTAACACCTGCCTATAAAAATTATATAATAGCAAGGTGACAGACTATAAATAGCTAATTATTATACACAATTGATTACTGGCTTGTCATTGAGTGAATTACTATGAAGAAATATAAGATGTAATTGGAACTTATAGCTGAGGAACCAGGTCTAGTCTTAAGAAGTCAGGGTCCTGATAACTGGGTAAAGCTATGAAGAGTTAGGAATAATATATTAGGTGAAAGTACCTTGGAAAATCATTTAGAGGTCAGCATGTGTGAGGCCACTCAGTGGAGATTAATTAAACCAAGATCTGGGAAAGTTGAACTTTCACAACAAAAGAAAGAGTGTCAAAAGATGAGACTGGCAAGTCAGAATAAATGACATATGAAGAGTCTTGTCAAGCATGGTGAGAAATGTAGTTATTATTCTACAAGCAACAGCAATGTATTACAGCTTTTTTTTTTAACACTGGTAGGATGTATTCTTTAGTGAACACTCACTATTATGGGAAGACAATACTTTCCATACTATATGGAAGTACTATATATCATCCTACATGGACTTGGATGACTTAAATCTAGTCTTTGCATAATAGGTGAGGGATGATAGGATTTTGGACTAAGGTTTTAAGAGAAGACATAAAAACATACCTGAAAGTACAATCAAGAGGATTTGTTGATTAAATGTCTATGGAATATAGATATATAGTACAAAAAAACTCTCTCTTTTACTCTCTTTATTAACAAAAATTAGGCCCTTATTGATGTTTGAAGAGATGGTAGGCTGCCCCTTACATGGCTATGACACTTTTGTGAAGCAGCTTTAAACCTCCCCTTGCAGCTGAAGCAACATAATCATTTCACATCGATGTCATGAAGAATGCACCAATACAATATGCACTTAGAGTTTATGGAAATGAGGAGAAGGAAGTCTTTTCAAATTTTGGCTGAACTAAAAACCTCAACATTTCTAAGACATATGGATAAGTAAATAGATAGCTATATGTTGTCAACATATTTGGTAAAAATCCCACATCTGCCTAATTTAAAATTAATACTTTTGTCCCATTGTATAGTATCAGTTGTATTAACCTGAAAAATTCTGAGAACAATAGTATAATGTCAAATACATTAAAAGGAAATAATAAAAGTAATAGAAGAAAATAATAAAATAATCCCAAAGATAAATTATTGAGAATTAAACAGGCCAAAAGTTAGTTTTTTGAAAAGTCTAATGAAATGAATAAACTTCTGGAAACACTGATCGAGATAGTAAAAAGAGCCAAGAAACAATAACATTAGAGTAATAATAAAAACAGAGATATTACTATAGATGCCAGTGAGATTAAACAATGCTTCTCAATATTTAATGTGCTTACAAATGACTTGATGATTGTATTCGTTTGCTAGGGCTGCTATAACAAAAAGAGACTGGGTGACTTACAGAAAGACATTTATTTACTTAAGGAGGCTAGAAGTTCAAGATCAAAGTGTCAACAGAGTTGGTTTCCATGTAAGGCCCCTTTCCTTGCCTTGTAGATGGCTTTCATCTGTGTCCTTACATGGCCTCTCCTCAATGCTCTCACACATCCCTGGTGTCTCTTCTTCTTCCTATGTTTTCTTTTATTTTTAGTTGGCACATAACAATTGTACATATTTATGGGATGCAAAGTGATATTTCAATACATGTATACAATGTGTAATGATCAAATCAGGGTAATTAGCATACCCATCACCTCAAGCATGTACCATTTCTTGGCGTTGTGAACATTCAAAATCCTCTCTTCCAGTTTTTTGAATATACACCTTAAATTATTGTTAACCATATTCACCCTATAGTGCTGCAGAACACCAGCACACATCTCTCCTATCTCGTTGTAATTTTGTATCTGTTAACCAACCTCTTTCTACCATGCCCTTCCTTCAGTGCTTCCAAGCCTCTCTTACCTGCAATTCTACTCTCTACTTCCTCTTTTTATAAAATCACCAGCCATATTGAATTAGGACCTACCCATAAGACAGTATTTAATCTTAATTACCTATATAAAGGTCCTATCTCCAAATACAAGTCAAATTCTGACTACTTGGGAGTCAGGACTTCAACATAGAGCCTTGAAGAAGACAATCCATCACAGGGACTTCCTTCAGTAGCTCTGAGACGGGACTCAAGGTTGAGCATTTCTTAAAAGCTCCCAAACGATGCCAATGCTGCCTAACTGCAGAACACACCTTGAGTTGCAAGGAATAAAATGGATTAACAGAAAATATATCAATAACTATAAGCTGTTATAATGAAAAACTTAGATTAAAAGAAGAAATTCCTAGTAAAATGTAGATTAATAAAATTGATTCAAGAAAATAATGAGCTTTACATGGTCTCATAATTATAAAAAACTTACATCAATATTTTGAAAGTAAAAAAAAATGTGGCAGAGAAATAAACTAAGACAGCTTTAGAAATGTGTACTTTCAACATTCACAGGGAGAAATTTTGAGTCCTATAAAAATATTTCATGGGAAGTAAGAGGTAACATTTCTTGACCGGTTTTATGAGGCTAGTATAAACTTGACACTCTATCCAGACAAAGGCAGTGCAAGAACAAAAACTAAAAATCTAATTTCACATGATGCTCAATCAAATGCTAAATA
Organism: Homo sapiens; assembly: GCF_000001405.40. Taxonomy (NCBI): domain Eukaryota; kingdom Metazoa; phylum Chordata; class Mammalia; order Primates; family Hominidae; genus Homo; species Homo sapiens. The sequence goes on from NC_000013.11 coordinate 71,334,900, forward strand.
TTAGCCAAATAAAGCTAGCAATGTATAAAAGGAATACTTATATATTATCCCCATTACATGCATTCCATGCATGCAAAGATTGTTTTTAAAAGTATTTTCAAAAAGGTATGTTAACCTATTTAAAAAAATCTTAAAACTCATCTCCATAAAGAGAGAATAGTAATTCGATGAAATTCAAACTCCATTCATGAGACATGCTCTTGGTAAACTAGAAATAGAGGAGTGATATGGTAGGTCTGATGTGGGACCTGAGAAACTGCCCTTTTTAGCACTTCCCAGGTGTTACCGAAGCTGCTGATGAGGGAACCATACCCTGAGACCATAGTATGTAGTACAATAAGGCCCACATTGCCGTTTAATTCTTTCTTGGTTTAGTTAGCATTGAAAAGTAGCAAAAATTCCATATACTGTCAAAGCCATCAAATTTATGTGTACTGTTAGATGCACAGATTATAAGTTGAAGGTATAATTTGATTGCATTGAAAATTAATAATGATGCAATCCTTATTTTCTCAGATATCAGCCTAAGAGTTACAACAGTACAGTAGGGTTACTATTGAAATTTAAATTCAATAAAACCATTTCATGAGGCTAGAATAAAGAGAAGTAGCATGCATATGTGTGTGTATGTCTACGTGTCACTTTGTAAAACTATAGGAAACAGACATTATGTATACAAATGCACATTTTTTTTTTAAGGAAGTTGCCAGGAGCTGGCTCACATGATATATCTTTGTTTATAGTCCTGATACCTGACAGCCTTCTGTTGAATCCAGCTGGAATCATGAGATGCACCAATGTTCCCGGTAAGTTTTATGAAATTCATTCTCATCACCTGTCTATGTACACTTTGTACTCCTCATCCTGGTTGAATTGACTGGGGTGAAGAGCAGGTAGACCCAGAGGGACATCTGACAAAAATCTGCTATTTCATACTCAAAACCTCTTTCCCTTACATCAGTGGTTCTCAACTAGAAGTGGATTTGCCCCCAGGGTATATTTATCAATGTCTGAAGACATTTTGGGTTGTCACAACTAGGAGTGGGGTATGGGGAGTGGTACTTGTATCTTGTGGATAGAGGCCTGGGATACTGCTTAGCATTCTACAATGCACAGGATAGCTCCCCACGGCAAGGCTCATCTCTCTCTTTTCCTTTGTCCTTCCTTGCCTCTTACTGTCCCTCTGCCTCTCTCCCTTAATGGTATATTTCATCCCAGGAGAATATACCTTAATGGTATATTTGTTTTATCCCAAAATATTCCCACCACATTGATCCTCCAAATAGTTCCAGAATGTCTGAATTGAAAGTTACAGCACTTCATCTTTAAGGTCCTCGACAATATGGGTATTATTTCAAAGGATATTTCCTGAACCTTCTCCCTGCCCCACCTCTAGCACAACAATCTGTATGCAGATGATACTCAATAGATGCCATCTGATATAATGAAATGACATTTTTCTACAGAGAAATGCTCTTTCTAATATTATTAGAAATGAAGATATTTATATGATGAGTAGCTAACACAAATATAGAAAAAATATTAATTTCCCCCAATTTGTATTTGTGCATAGCACCTCAGAGAAATATAAATGTAGGGGTTTCTTTTACAATGATTATAAAATATTTTGTTGCTCTTTCATATATCTAGATTTGATTATATCTGTTTACAGTGTGAACAGAATACATTTTTAAAGTGAATAACTAAACATATTCAGGACTTGAATTATATAATTTTAAATTCCAGAGCAAATAATAATTGAAATGTTCTAAATATATTCCTAATTTAGTATTTAAATTTCTAAAATATGCACCTTGTCCTTATCCATTGCCTATTCCAATTCTTAGAGAATATACAAGTAAAACAGTATTCATTTTGATGGACCTTGTTTGATGGAATTGTTTGGGCAGGAGGAAGCAGAAAATAAAGTGGACAGTAAAATGGCTCCTTTGGTAATAATCTAAGACTACATAAAAATCCACCAGAAGAATAAATTTAGGTTTCTTAGGGCTAGTTGTTCCACCTAAGCACTAGTGTTTACCAAATAGAATAGATGAGGCAATACAAATTTACAAATTAATTAATGACACTGACTTATTTATAATCCTTAACAAATTAGACAACTGGGCAATGCCCAAGAATATTTGAGCTTATATTTCAATTTTATTCTTTTTATTTACTAGCCAAATCTATGACCCCTTTAAAAGTTAGCATCCTTTTTTCACGAAATACTCCACAGAATTTTGTCTACAATGAAATAAAAAGTTAAATAACGGGTCACTCTGGCCTTTGTTTTTACTTACTTGGTTTTTATGTAGCATTTTCATTATAATATTATTAACATGACAAGACCTGATGCCTGCACCCATTGGGAGAGGTACTTACCCTGTTGGGTCTTAATGAAGTCCGTGAATATACCTGATTGCATTCCAACTTCATTCTTGATCTACCTCACTCTTTTGATTACAAAATGGTAAGCACTGACCATCTTCCCCCACCAAAACTTGTCTCTTTCACCTGAAATACTTCTGACTTATCTGTTTGTAAATATTCTATTTTTAATAGCTGGAAAAATTCCAATATACTATACTTTATACTTTAATAGTTGGACAAATTCCAATATACTATACGTTTTAATATACTATATTTGTTCACGTTAAATAAAATCAACAATCTCCTTTATACAGATCTTTATAATATTTTTTCTTCTTATAGAAGGAAGTCCACCTTTTCATTTCCCATATACTCACCAGCTAATTATAACTTTTGATAAAACATTCTTTGTAATATAATTTATTCTATTTAATTTCATCCATGAAAACCAGTTCCAAATCCCAGTTAACTTCCAAAGTAAGAGCTACACTGTTTCTCTTATCTGGCAAAAGTGGCAAGGTTGGTTTTAGGCAACATGTGGTAGAAAAAGTCTATTTAGTAAGGGTATACCAAAGTAGAATCTCATTTCCCAAGTTGCTAATGAAATTTAAATGAGAATATTTTTGTTTTTCATGGAGTGTAAAATTTAAATTATTACTCTTCATATAGATTTATCATAAATTTCTTCAAATTCTAATGCATCTGGTGATTCTCTCGTTGAACAATGTATCTATATAGGAAGAAAAATTATTTAAGCCTGGTCTTCCTTGCATATATGTTTTGAATTAAAAATAAAAGACATTTCTTAGGATCTGAAGAGTGAATAGAACTGGAAGACTGTGCTCTCATTATAAAAACATGTGCACAACTTTCCATGTGAAGAATCTGGTGTAAAATATCTCTGATTGGGCATTAGAAGTAGAACAGTGTAGCAAAAAATAGCTCTACTCTTCCATGGACGATTCAGTATTGCCTCGTATTCAGGAGCTATAAATTACATGCCTGAAGTGCCTGAAGGAGCAGATGCTGGAATGTTCATGTCCTAAACATGTAACCCTGTTAGTATCAAAGCAGCTTACTGGAAGATACATGAACCCCCAAGGACCATTTGACCACATTCCCAGAGCTTTCTAATATAAAAGACTTTAGGAAATGAAAGATAATCTACCACGGCTTTCATCCCTATCCCCTCAGACTCTATTATAATCACCTTGTGAGAAAGCACACTTCATTACAAAATCAAATTGCTTGCCTCCCAAGAGCTACTTTTTAGTCTGGGTGGATTTTACTTATCCTCCAAACAACCAAAAATAATCAAGATGATTGTCTTAGTTTGACAATGTCTGATAGCTTTTGCATAATCATGTCAGAAAGGTTTCCTTTTCTTTTCTTTTTTTAAGGAAATTCCTTCAGATAAACCAAGACTGTGTATAATTTATGCATATTAAAAGCAACATTATTAATTTATGTCAAATAAAAACTTATAAACCGTTGCATTTGAAAAGTAGAGTTTCAGTCTATCTGAATTTAGAGATCTTAATGACATCACTAAGAAATTAGCCAAAAATGTCAACTCTTCTTATGTTATTTAATCTACCTTTTGTTCTCGAAATATTTTTCTTTGATATAGTTCTGCCTAAAATCAATAGCAAATAAAAATTTTAAAAATATGAAACTTACTAATATAAACATATAAAATTATTTAAAAGCAGTAAAGTAAATAATATTTAAAGTGTTTCTCTCTAAATAAAATATGTTATCAGTTATGAGGGAGAATCTCAACCAATTTTTAGTGAGATTGCCAGAAGAAACAGTGAGCATAAATTTAATGCAGACTTAAGTTTGAAATTACACAGATCAGATGTGTCATTGCTTTTGTATATTCTTATCTCTCATGGCTTTGGTCAGTCTTCAGAGCTGCACTGTCTCTGGAATCCTAGTATGAACTTAATCTTCTTGATGATGAACAGGGTTATAAAATACAGACAACTCTATCTAGTCCTGTGTGAGACCAGTGGTAATACGTGTTTTTTCAAGAACCATTACCTCTTGTTCAATCAGCTTTGTATCTTTCTGAATATGCACAGGTACTGTTACTCTAGATTGAAACTCTAGCCTAAGTGACTGGTTAGATAAATTCATATAACTATAAAATTATACATTTCTGAAAATGAATATAAGTAACAAGGGGAAATCAGGAATTCTCTTACTCATTGTTACAACTGAAAGTTAAAAACGAAAAGTTGACCAGAAAATGTGTATGTCTAGAGTTAGGGTTACTAGGAATCCCTAAGAATATGAAAATTACACAAATATTTGAAAACCAACTAACCATTTTTAAATAGCCAACAGTAAATGAAGAAACAAAATAGAAATTATAAAATGCTTTGAACTGAAAACAATCTAAATAAATTATTCTAAAATCAGATCTAGAAATATAAAAAAAAGCATAAAAACTGGGTTTCATTCTCTAAGTGCAAGATTCAGAAGTCAATCAATATGATTTATGATATTAACAGTCTAAAAAAGGAAAATCAAATGACCATCTCAATAGAGACAGAAAATAATATTTTACACAATTCAACAACTCATCCAGAAAAAAAACTCATCAAACTAGAAACAGAAGAAGAATTGTACAAACTGATAAAGGACATATAAAAACTTACAAATGACATCATATTTAACAGTAAAAGACTAAATAGTTTTCTCTTAAGATCAGGAACAAGACAAGGATGTCCACTCTCACCATTTCTATTCAACATCGTACTAGAGATTATAGGCAGTAAAATAAAGAAAATACATAATAAAAGTAGCTTGATGAGAAAAGAAGGTATAAAACACCTTTTGTTCAAAGGCAAAATTATAGTCTATTTAAAAAATTTTAAAGCATCTACAAAAAAAAGCTACTAGAAGTAATAAGTGAATTTAGCAAGACTGAAGGGTACAACATCAGTGTAAAAAAGACTACATTTCTATACAGTAGTAATGAACAATCAGCAATTGTATTAGACAAGAATACTGGAAATTAATTTAAAAAATTAAAATTTTTAAAGCACAGAAATAAATGGAAAATATACTGTAGTCATAGATCAAAAGATTCCATATTATTAAGATGTCAGAAATAGACCCACATATTTGTGGATGACAAATTTCTGATTGAGATACAAATGCATACCAATGAGAAAGTCTAATCTTTTCAACACATGATGCTAGAAAAATTAGATATCCATATTTTAAAAACAAACATCAATTCATATTTCATGCCAGATGTAAAAAATAAATTAAATAAGAAAAACTAAAATTATATATCTTCCTGAAGAAAACATGAGAAAAAATTTGGAGACCTTGATTAGGCAAATAATTTTACTGGGGGCACCCAAGATACAATATATTAAATAAAATAATTAGTATATTAGACTCATCAAATTTAATAATTTCTACTCTTTGAGCATCACTGTTAAGAGATGAAAAGTAAAACCACAAAGTCTAAAATATTTGCAAATTATATACCTGATAAATAACTTGTATCTAGAATACATAAAGAACTCTACAAACATAAGGAAGAAACACTTTCAGAATGATAGAGTAAGGACCTCGAAAAATCTACTCCTCCAGAAAAGCAATGAGATATATGGCAAAAAAAAAAGTCAAAATCAATTTTTTTAACTCTGAGAATTAATTAAAGGCTTGCAACAACCTGAGGTGTGTTTATTTTTTTTTTTAAAAGTTGACTTTTATTAAGGACATTAAGACAAAGGACATTAAGGACATTAAAATGTCCTATTCCTACATTTCTCTCTCCATATTTCTCTCTCCACTCCAATAGCCTTGAAGACCAGCAGAGTTAGAACAACAGTAACTATGGAAACAACAGTCGCTAGATGGGGCAGAATAGATTTGAAGCTCCACAAAAAAATCTATTTTCAGAAAATTATTACTATTTGACCTGAAAACTCCTAAAAGCCTCATTCACATAGCTTGACATTATTTGACCTGACAGAACTCATTCAGTGAGGAAAGCCCTATGATCAGAGTGTATGTTAAAAAAAAAAAGATAGTAGTGATTTGTTACAGTGCTACTGCCTGATGTTAGTTGGAGCAAACAAAAGGATAGACAGAAAGATGAAAAGAAAAATCAGAGAATATGATACGCCTACTAGGTTTTGAAAAGTTCCAACATTTCCTGGGGAACCAGAAAGGCATGGCTTGTGTAGGGCTGTGTGCATAAGACATAAGAAGGCCCAACTTTTTACTCCTGGCTGGCCACAGGGCTATGCACCAGCTGGGAGTGAAGGTGAAGGCGAAGTTGCAAACTGCCAGAGTGTGGAAGGCATGTTCCAACCAATATTCACAGAGAGAGAAAAGGGGCAAAATGTATAGTTGTTTGGAGATTTATTGGTTGAAGGCATTTAGGAACTCTGTTCAATCACTGGTTGACCACTAAGCAAGCCACCTCGAAGCTATTCCAGCAGCTGCAGATTTTAGAGAATTAGTCGAAAAAGCTTACTAAATACATAAATACCAACAAGAGCAACAATAAACAACAACAAAAACAAATATGATAAGCAGAGAGGCTGACTGCCATTGTTGCCCAATGATATTATTTAAAATGTCCAGTTTTCAACAAATAATGATTTTAAAAATGCAAAAAATAACAAAACAAAACAGCAAAGTGTGGCTAATACTCAGGAAAATGGAATAGAAATTGTCTCTGAGGAAGCCCAGATGCTGGATTTAATAGATAAAGACTTCAACTATTATAGATATTTTGAAAAAACTAAAGGAAACAATTTCTAAAGCATAACAGGAAAGTGTGAGAAAGTTTCTCACCAAATGGAGAATATCAATAAAAAGATAGAAACAATTTTTTTAAAAGATCAAATAGAAATCTGGGAATTGAAAAAGTATAATAACTGAAATTTAAAAATTCACCAGAGATGCTAAAAACATATTTGAGTTGGAAGATAAAAGAATCAGTGAATGTGATCGTAGGTCAATTTACATTTTCTGTTCTGAGGGGAACAAAATAAAAAAGAACGAAGCAAAAAGAAGAGAGATCTCTGGGACACTAGCAGTGTATCAACAAATGCATAATGGGAGTCCTAGGAGAGGGGAAAAAGGAACATAAACCTTATTTGTAGAAATAATCGCTTTCAATTCCTGAGATATGATGAAAAGCATTCTATCCAAGAAGCTCAACAAACTTCAAGTAGAATAAACTCAAAAAAATTATTATCTTTGCTATGGGTAGACACCTGATCCAAGTAAGAACAAAGTTTATTTCTTATCAAAATTGAATTGATTCACTTTAATACAAACTTTCTGGACAGGTGCACATTTTTGTCAGCATCAGGCAGTGTATCCTATGTAGAAAAAGGGAGAGTTGACTCTTTAAGGGGTTCCCTGGTTCTGGTGACATAAACAGCAAGCAAAAGAAGCATTAACAAAGACTATAAAAGAACAGTTGAGTTAATTGAAAAAGAAATATGAGAGAGAAGTTTCATGGAAGGGGAGGAAAAGACTTTCAACTGGTTGTAATAGTCAAAGATTCTAAGTGCTGTGAAATCTGTTTAACCTGTCCACCTTTTATTAAGGAAAAATGTAGTCCTATTTATAGATGTGTGTGTAATAGAGTTTTATGATGGTTTACACAGGCCAGAAGTAATGAAATCGTGTCTTCACTGGCAGAAATTTTGCCTGCATGTAATTTCTTGATAGTTTGCATTTTCTTGAAATATATAGCTTGTCTAACTAGCTTTTAGTTAATAAAAATAAGCAAGCTACTGCATGACAACGACATCCTCTAAAATCACTGTAAATACTTAGAAATCGTAAACCCAAAAGTGAAGCACAAGGATTGTATTAGGGTTCTCTCTAGACGGACTGAACTATATATATATATATATATATATATAGTTACATAACTATACATATAGTTATATAGTAATACATCTAGTTATATAGTTATATATAGTTATATATAGTTACATAGTTATATAGCTATTAGCAAAGACTACAAAATATATAAAATATAATATATTGTTATATAACTATATATATATTCTATTAGTTCTGTCCCTCTAGAGTTATATATATATATATATATATATATATATATATATATAAACTCCCATATATATATACGAGTTTATTAAGTATTAACTCACATGATCACAAAATCCCACAATAGGCCATCTGCAAGCTGAAGAGAAAAGTGAGCCAGTCCAAGTGTCAAAGCTGAAGAACTTGGAGTTCAATGTTCTAGAGCAGGAAGCATCCAGCATGGGAGAAAGATATAGGCTGGGAGACTAGGCCAATCTAGTCTTTTCACATTTTTTTTTTTTTGACTGCTTTATATTCTAGCTGCTCTGGCAGCTGATTAGATGGTGCCCACCCAGATTAAGAGTGGGTCTGCCTTTCCCAGCCCACTGACTCATATGTTAATCTCCTTTGGCAACACTCTCACAGACACACCCAGGAACAACACTTTTCATCCTTCAACCCAATCAAGTTGACACTCAGTATTAACCATCACAAGGATCATGCAAGTACATGAGTATTTGGAAATCTTTTATAATTTGTGCATTTTATAAAAATTATACTAGATATAAAAATGTTTGCCGTCATAGTTCTTTAGTTCTACCTAGAATATATTCACTTTACCCTTAATTGGGTTGTTAAATTGAGCACAATTTATTGTCCACAGAAAGTGCTAAAATTTCTTCAGTTCATGACATTTATGTGTAAACTCTAATCCCTCTAAAAATGTGTTAAACTTAACCCAAAGTGTATTGCCAAATACAAAATTTATGTTTTTCTATAGCTTTCTTGGGAGTAATGATATTTTCATTTCACTGACTCCTGTTGTGAAAAACAAGAATTGACATTGTGGTTATGTCTGAATGAAAAGTTCGATTATTGTAGTCCATTTTATTAAGTTGAAAAAAAATTGTTTCATTAGTTTAGGTTTTGCCCATTTTTACTAAGAACACATTAACTTTAGGAAAAATAATATGCAAATTTAAGATATTCAAATATCAGATCAGAGAACAAAAGATAAAAAGGCCAATATTCTTCTTCTTCTCTTTTTTTTTTTTCCTGTGAAAAGTGGTCTCACATCATTGCCTACACTGGAGTGCAGTGGTGTGAACCTGGATCACTGCAGCCTCTACCTCCCTGGACTCAGGTGATCCTCCTACCTCAATCTCCTGAGTAGCTGGGACTACAGGCACATGGCACCGTGCCTGGCTAATTTCTGTGTATTTTTAATAGAGACAGGGTTTGCCATGTTGCCCAGGCTGGTCTTGAACTTCTGGACTCAAGCAATCCACCCATCTCAGCATCCCAAAGTGTTGGGATTATAGGTGTGAGCCACCATGCCCAGCCAAAAGGATAATATTCTGTGCCATGTCTGTTTTCACACTGCTGATAAAGACATACGCGAGACTGGGAAGAAAAAGAGCTTTAATTGGACTTACAGTTCCACATGGCTGGGGAGGCCTCAGAATCATGGAGGAAGGTGAAAGGCGCTTCTTACATGGCACTGGCAAGAGAAAATGAGCAAGATGCAAGAGCAGAAACCCCTGATAAAACCATCAGATTTCATGAGACTTATTTACTAACATTAGAACAGCATGGGGGAAACTGCCTCATGATTCAAATAATCTCCCACCAGGTCCCTCCCACAACATGTGGGAATTATGGGAGTACAATTCAAGATGAGATTTGGATGGGGACACAGAGCCAAACCATATCATTTTGCCCATGGCCCCTCCAAATCTTGTGTCCTCACATTTCAAAACCAGTCAAAACCATGAGTCAAATCTCATGTCCACTCAAATCTCATGTCCACTCAAATCTCATTTTCAAACCTTCCCAACAGTCTCCCAAAGTCTTAACTCATTTCAGAATTAACTCAAAAGTCCACAGTCCAAAGTCTTATCTGAGACAAAGCAAGTCCCTTCCACCTATGAGCCTGTAAAATCAAAAGCAAGTTAATTACTTCCTAGATATAATGGGGGTACAGGCATTGGGTAAATACAGCCATTCCAAATGGGGAAAATTAGCCAAAACAAAGTGTCTACTGGCCCCATGCAAGTCAGAAATCCAGCAGGGCAGCCAAATCTTAAAGGTCCAAAATGATCATCTTTGATGCCATGTCTCACATCTGGGTCATGCTGATGCAAGAGGTGGGTTCCCATGGTCTTGGGAAGCTCTGCCCCTGTGGCTTTGCAGGATACGGATCCTCTCCTGGCTGCTTTCACTGGCTGGCGTTGTCTGTGACTTTTCCAGGTGCATGGTGCAAGCTGTTGGTGGATCTATCATTCTGGGATCTGGAGGACGGTGACCCTCTTCTCACAGCTCCAGTAGATGGTGCCCCAGTAAGGACTCTGGGTCGGGGATCCAAATCCACATTTCTCTTGTTCCCTGCCCTAACAGAGGTTCTCCATGAGTGCCCCACCCCTGCAGCAAACTTCTGCCTGGGCATACAGACATTTCCATATATCTTCTGAAATCTAGGCAGAGGTTCCCAAATCTCAATTCTTGATTTCTGTGCACTTGCCAGCTCAACACCACATGGAAGCTGCCAAGGCTTGGGGCTTGCACCCTCTGAAGCCACGGTCCAAGCTCTACATTAGCCCCTTTCAGCCATGGCTGGAGTGGCTGGGATGCAGGGTACCAAGTCCCTAGGCTGCATATAGCACAGGGACCCTGAGCCCGGCCCACAAAATCATTTTCTCCTAGGCCTTCGGGCCTGTGATGGGAGGAGCTGCCGTGAAGGCCTCTGACATGCCCTGGAGACATGTTCCTCATTGTCTTGGGGATTAACATTCAGCTCCTTGTTACTTATGCAAATTTCTGCAGCTGGCTGGAATTTCTCCTCAGAAAATGGGTTTTTCTTTTCTATCACATTGTCAGGTTGCAAATTTTCTAAACTTTTATTCTCTGTTTCCCTTTTAAAACTGAATGCTTTTAACAGCACCCAAGTCACCTCTTGAATGCTTTGCTGCTTAGAAATTTTCTCCTCCAGATACCCTAAACCATCAAAGTTCCACAAGTTCAAAGTTCCACAAATCTCTAGGGCAGAAGCAAAATGCTGCCAGTCTTTTTGCTGAAACATAACGAGAGTCACCTTTGCTCCAGTTCCCAACAAGTTCTTCATCTCCATTTGAGACCACCTCAGCCTGGACCTTATTGTTCATATCGCTATCAGCATTTTTGTCAAAGCCATTCAACAAGTCTCTAGGAAGTTCCAAATTTTCCCACTTTTTCCTGTCTTCTTCTGAGCCCTCCAATCGGTTCCAGCCTCTGCCTGTTACCCAGTTCCAAAGTTGCCTCCACAGTTTTAGGTATCTTTTCAACAACACCCCACTCTACTGTTACCGATTTACTGTATTAGTCCGTTTTCATGCTGCTGATAAAGACGTACCTGAGACTGGGAAGAAAAAGAGATTTAATGGGACTTACAGTTTCACATGGCTGGGGAGGCCTCAGGATCATGGTGGATGATGAAAGGCACTTCTTACATGGTGGCAGCAAGAGAAAATGAGGAAGATGCAAAAGCAGAAACCCCTGATAAAACTATCAGATTTCTTGAGACTTATTCACTACCATGAGAACAATATGGGGCAAATTGCCCCCATGATTCAAATAATCTCCCACTGAATCCCTCCCACAACACGTGGGAATTATGGGAGTACAATTCAATATGAGATTTGGGTGGAGACACAGAGCCAAACCATATCAAGGAGTTCTGTATACCCTAGACAAGGATAGAACTTGTGAAAAAAATAAAAATAAAAACCTAAACAAAAATAGAAACACCTGACAAATAAATTACTGATTCATTGGTTTGGTTTAATTTTCCTCTCAGGTTTAAAAATAAAATACAGTGTTATTTTAAAAGTTTAAGATGCACAGGTTAGCAGATAGAATACAATGTTGCCTTTTTATAACAAAATTACTTAGATGTTAATGTAGTTAAAATACACAAAATATCCTATGATTTCCAGGAAAAGAGAAGTCACTATAGAATTTAAGAGTTTATTTTCTTAAACATTCTAGTGCCTTAGTCTGTGTTTATACATTTGGAATAGTTTTAAGTCAAAAAATTAGGCCCAGTCATAAAGTGCAATGTGTGATTGTTAATCTATTGTATACCCATAAATGTAAGAACTATTTGCTAACTGGTTTTGTTTTTCTTGAATTATATCTATTATAGAAATGTGTTAGTTCATTTAGGCCACCCAAGTACTGTTAAAAAAAAATAAAAATAAAAAACTGCTGGTTCATTGCTGGGGGACTTTGAACACTTTCCCTAAAAGATATAGTAAACATTTTTACTTGCTTAATTCAGATCCATTCTTATATATAGTGAAATCAATATCTTTATACTTCTGTACTACCTAAGATTCTCTAGTTCTTTCTAGCCTGTAATATCCTACATGTCCAAATCCCTTAATCACAACCAACTTCTTCACAGCTATTTTGGTCACTTCCCTCCATCAACATTTTCTACCAGACACACTGAAATTGTTATTCTCTGGGTGCATGTTGACTTTCACACTGTCCTTGACATAATCCATGCTGTTTTTTTTGTCCAGGATGCCTTCCCCTGACTCCTATTCCATCTTTGTCAAACAACCATTTGAGTTTCAAGAACTAGCTTATGTAATTCTCCTTAAATATCTCAAGTAGAGTTAGTTGCCCTCTTCTGAATATGTCTACAACTTTTCTAAATGGCTGCAGGCACAGCAGTCAGAAAGAAAAGTCCAAAATTTTAGGTAACTTTAGAGCACTAAGGTGGAGGGCAGGAGACAAGGGCTGAGACCTAACAGCCCCTGTGTCATCATAGGTCCATACCTAACAGCATGTTTTCAGGGTGATAATTGTCTTCAGCAGCCCCTGATTCTTTCACTCTCATTCCATCATGGATAAGAGTCTTCATGCTGTCTCTTGGATATTTTGCATCTTCCACCACCAAGCTCTAACCCAAACCTCTCTCGCCTTTCGTGCATCTGACTTATGACTCTTCTGACATTAACACTTACTTAAAGTCCTAAGTTTCTCAGAGTCTTGCTTTGTGCTAGGTGATTGTCAGCTAGCTCATTTAAAACACTCCCTGCTAGTATGTTAATGATATTAAATTAGAAATTAGATCTTCGGTCTTTTGCACTTTCGCTTGATTTTTTTAAACGGCTAAAAATGTAATGAGTTTTGTTTTATAAAGAAAATTAAAATGTCATGGACACCATAATGTCCATGTGAAATTACCATATGCAAAGGAAAATAGAAGTTATCTATCCATTACCTATTTGACAAAACATGCATTTTACAGATTCTCCACCCTCAAAAAGATGGAGCATAACTTCCCACTCCTTAATTGTGGGTTTTACAAAATGACTTTCTGCCAAAGAGGACACTATCAAAGGAGAGAGAAGGGAAAGTAACGTTGCAGTGGAGAAACCTTACAAATACTGCTTCAATCAGGTGATCTGGGGCCAACCTCAACAGGGATACATCCTGTTAATAGCATGAACCCAGACAGGATGTGAAAAAAATGGAAAATTACTTCTTGTAATCTTCCCCTCAACAGCAAATAATCAGAGCCTAATCAGAAAAACATCAGAAAAATCCCAACTGAAGGACATTCCACAAAATACCTGATCAGTAATCCTCTAAGACTGTCAAGATTATAAAAACAGGAGTCTAAGAAACTGTCATAACCAGGAGGAGCCTAAGGAGACAAGAGGATGAAATTTACTATGGCCTTCTGGATGAGATCCTGGAACAGGAATAAGAAATTAGGTAAAAAACTAAGGAAATCTGAATAAAGTATGGACTTGTGCTGACAACAGTGTGTCAATATTCACTATTTGTAACAAATTTAGTATACTAACAGATGTTAATGATAGATAAAATAGTGTAAGATCTGTACAAAATCTCTTTTATTATCTTTGCAATTTTTCTGTAAAGGGTCTAAAACTGAGAATTGTGTATTTGACAAAACCAAACATACAAACAAAAACCAACAAGTTAAAAAAAAACACTCCAATCATGATTCACAGATCTTCAATAAACTATTAATGTAACATCAAATTTATTTGTGCAACTGAATTCTTTAGAATAATTGTGAAGTTATATAACAAATGATATCAATAGTTCATACAAATTATGTCTACAAATGAAAGTTAAACTCTATCTACAATGTTTACTATTAGAGACATTGGATCTGAAAATTATATGCACTAATACCAAGCAATTACAGATGAATTAATAGATAGATAAATGGACAGTTGACAGAAGGAAGGAAGGAAAGGAAGAGAATATAATGAGGTTAAAAATCATCATAAAAACATGATTCCATTTGTTTAAAATAGTAATTTTTACAAAAATATCAGATGTTGTTTAAGAAAGAAACTTTGATATATGTTCAATTGTAAGTGATGCATTTAGGGAAAAATCCAGAAGAGAAACAACCAACCTACCGAATGAGCAATCACATAGAAACTTCCACTAAAAAGAAAAAGAATAGAATTTTAATACATTTTTAGCTTATCTTAGTAGCTTCCAAGGTTTTATTATTTTAGCATCTTATTTTTGTTACAGTATTCTGCCCAAATTTTTAAAATAAACCCTCACTAATCTTACAAAAATAATCTCCTGAATACACAGGTCAAAGAATAAAAGTCTACAATTTACTGGACATCCAAATTATACCTCAAATAAAGACTTTGTAATTTTCTTACAGAGAAAGAATAATAAAAGATCTTTCTTTGGATTGATAATAAATTAGGTTAATTAAAACTGTACTTAAAGTTATAGCTATAATATAATGACACCGGTCATATAATAAAATAACAAAATTTTATATCTAAAGTATTATTGTTTCTTTTTAATATATTGAAGCTTTGGCCTTAATCCAAACACTCCTCTTTGCTAAAAACAATTTCAACACTCCTCTTTGAGAATGATCTTCAGACCTTTTTTCTAACTGATTTGGGTATTTTTTAGGCTCACAGAATTTTCTCCTTGAGAAGTTGGACTTAATTTTAGAACTGCCAAAATATTCTTTAAAGTTTTGTGGCAAATTTGAAAATTTAAATAAATAATTTTTTGAAAAATATTGAGACTGGTACGTATGTTTGCACATGTGTATGTGCTTCACTCATTAATTTCAAAAACTTGACATTTTTATCTAGTGATATCATAAATGAAGAAAGGGAATTTCTTCCCAAGATTACACCTTTAAAATCTGTCATGGTTGTTATTTATATTATCAACCACTTTAATATGTTCTTTACATAGATATAGTATTGTTGAAATACTCAGCCAAGTTGATATATTATGTTCAGAACCCCTGTAAAAGTTTCACATTCTGATTATTTCTAGATTTCTGGTCATTTGTATATTTGTTGTGGTCTATTAAACTGACCACAGTTTTGAACATATTCTACTTGACTGCATTTGTATTGAACTAAAGAAGAAAATATTGATGAACCTTTAGAAAGTCATGAAAACATAAAAATGACAAACAGTATAGTGAGAGATTTATAGGCAGAATCTATTTAATAAATGAAATACAAGGAAGATAGATGCTTAACAATGAATTATTGTAATTTAAGGAATGCATCAAGTAGAATAAAGAGGATCATCTCAAAAATAAAATGCTAAGGAACAATAACAGCATTGTAGTTATCCTACATCCATTAAAATTCTGATTAAATGGACTTAACAGGAAATGACATAATTTTACAGTTGTACATTATCTCTCACGTACAGACTTTATTTATTCCAAGCAGCAGGGACATGCCTGATGAAGTAAGGAGCCATCATTAGTGAGGACTGGTCACTGCTGTTCCAGAACCCTCTTAGCATTATCTGAGCCTTTTGATTAATGTATTCTTGAAATGTTTAGTAACATTCAATACTGAATATGATCTCTGATTTGTGTAAATCGGATTTGCCAATGCAATTTAGTATATTTTTTTCAAGTTGAAAAAGAAACAAGCAAACAAAAAAAAATGAAAAAAGTGAGTGAAAAGGAGAAGTAAAAATATTTTTAAAATACAGAAAAAATTGTGTAAAAAACATCTGGCACATGGCGAAATGGCCTAATACAAAGATGCAAAATTGAGCGGGGATAGATAAAATGCATCAATTCAATATTTGGAGAGATAACGAATAATAACTTTTCAAAATTGACAAAAGACATCAAGCCACAGATACCAAAAACAATATGAACACCAATCTCTATAAAACAAAGAATGTCTGAAAAACACAAAAAAAGAAAATATCTCCAAAATAGAGAAAACAGAAACATTGCCTTCAAAGTAGCAATAGTAACACCAACAGCTAAAATATCCACAAAAACAAAGACACTAAAATGACACTGTTAATTGTGAAAACAAAATAACTGTCTTAGAAATTTATATATTCAATAAAAAAAATCCTTCCAAAAATGAAAGCCAGATTCATCCTTAGACAAAGAACTGAAAAAGCTGGTCACCATAGACTACACTATGTTATACTAATGAGGTACTTTAAGCAAAAGAAATAAGTTCCCAGATTAAATAAACACAGAAAGAAACAAATAATAAATTAATGGATATATATAAAAATATTCAATATACAAAACAATAATGATGTCTTTCTTATCTAAAATATGTGTATACTGAAAATACATGGCAATAATATAATTTGTGGAAGGGAATATAGGCATTTAACTGTTCTAAGGTCCTTGAATTACCCATAGAGTTAGGAAAATTCTAAGAATTTTAATTTTAATTAGTCAATATTGATATAATGTATAAATAAAATAGTATAATGTAAAGTAATTTTTAAAATTTTATAGCAACAAAAAGAAGATAAGATGAATGATATATTTAAACTCAAATGTGTTAGAAATAATACAGCATTTAAATGTCCCACATACTGCAATTAACAGATAAAAGTTGTTATATGAATTTTATAAATGAAATTGTTTTGTCTAAAAGTGTATACCTTAAATTTAAGGACACAGAAATGTTGAAATAAAAATATCTTAAGAAAAACAAAACAAATAACAGGCTGTTAATAACTAAAACAACACAAAAAAATTGTTTAAAATTTTTCCAATATCAGACAAAGCTTTAAAGAGCAAACTTTTAGATATAATAGGATAAAATCAAAGCACTAAGAAGATAAAACAGCTGTAAATTTTTATACATTTATGAATCACAAAATATAAAAATACGCACACACAGTGTGTAAATTAAGCAGGCTTTAAGATTTATATAGAAATGCAAATGATCTATGCTATCCAATACAGTGTTAGAACAAATTTTTATTATTAAACTGAAGAATTGATACAGTGTGGTTTTGTCTCAAATATACAGACAAATCAGTCAAAAAACAGCCACATGTATATTCACTTGCTTAAGAAAAGGATGACACTACTAAACAAAGAAGAAAGGCTTGTCTTTTTTTGTAATTAGAGTACATTAAAATTAAGAACTCTGTCTATTAAAGAAACATTAGGCCAGGTGCAGTGGCTCATGCCTATAATCCCAGCACTTTGGGAGTCCCAGGCGAGTGGATTATCTGAGGTCAGGAGTTTGAGACCAGCCTCACCAACATGGAGAAGTCCCACCTCTACTAAAAATACGAAATTAGCCAGGTGTGATGGCTCATGCCTGTAATCCCAGCTAGTCAGGAGGCGGAGGCAGGAGAATCACTTGAATCTGGGAGGTGGAGGTTGTGGTGAGCTGAGATCGTGTCATTGCCCTCTAGCCTGGGCAACAAGAGTGAAACTCTGTCTTAAAAAAAATAAAATTAAATTAAAAAAAAAAAGCATTAAGTGACTCAAAAAAGACAAGATCAAATCAAAGAAGATATTTGTGATCATTATATTTTATAAAGGACTCATGTTAAGAATATAAAAAGAAGTCCTCAATTTAAGAAACAAAAGACAGGTAACCCAAATAAGAGAGAAAAAAGAGACATGAATGTGCCATTCACAAAAAAAGGATAACTGAAGATTTGCTCCACCTCATTATTCATTTTTAAAAAGTTAATACCGCAATGACAAAAATCACAAATTCACCAGAAGGATAAAATAAAAGATTCCGAAAATACTAAGGGCTATCAAATATGTGAAGCCACTATACTATTCATCCACCACTGATGGGAAGTGTACATTGGTATATGCACTGTAGGACACTTTGGCAGTGTCTCATAAGGCTGCAAATACATATACCCTTCCTAATGGACTGTTTGTGCTCCTCCCTAGAAATTCATGTTAAAATCCTACCACCCAGTGGGATGGTAAAAGGAGCTGGGGCCTCTGGGAGTTAATTATGATTAGAGAAAGTCATGAGGGTGGAGCTCTCATGAATGGCATGGAAATAGAGCCCTTACTAGAGTCCTGAGAGATTTGTTTCCTCTCTCTGCTGTCAGCAAAGTGAAGATACAAGAAGTCATCATCCTGCAACCGGAAGAGGGCCTCTTCGAAAACCTGATCGTGTGAGCACCCTGATCTTGGACTTTTAGCCTCCAGAACTGTGAGAAATGAATTTCTGTTCTTTATAAGCCATCCTGTCTGTGGTATTTTTGTTATAGCATTTTTGTTATGCCAGACAGACTAAGGCATCCTTTTAATTTCACCAATGGTATACATGCAAAAGAAATGTGCACAAACATGTGCCCAAAGACATGTGCTAAATCATTCATGGAAACATTATTTAAATAGGCCAAAGTTAGAAACAATCCATATGTTCTCAAATGTAGGAGGAATAAACAAATTTTGGAATATTCACACGATGAAACATAAACATCAATGGAAATAAACAGCAACACAAACAACATAAAACAATATGGATAAATCATATTGAGTGAAAGACACCAGAACAAGGGAATATATTATATGTATATTTACATGGAAACAAAGACTAATCTAATGTGCTAGAATTCAAGAAAATTTTTACTTTTGGAGAGGAAAGGGTTATGATTATAGAGATGGAGCACAAGGTGGTGTGGAAAATTGATTGTAATAAAATGGCCCCAAATTTCATTTTAATAAAAAAAAGAATGTCTAAATTGGTGTATATTGCTATGTGGAATACAATATATCTTTAAAGTACATGAAGGAGAACTAAGATGCATTTAAAAAATAAAGCATACTACTAAGAAAAAGAGACATTGTAGAATGAAACAGAATTTGCCATTATATAGTTTTAAAGCATGCAAGACAATGCTGTACCTTATTTGCTATGTATAGAAAATATACAAACATGCATGGTGATATGGTCTGGGTCTGTGTGCCCACTCAAATCTCACATCTATTTGCAATCATCAATGTTGGAGATGGGGCCTGGAGGGAGGTGATTAAATCGTGGGGGCTGATTTTCCCTCTGGGGCTGTTCTCATGACATTGACTGAGTTATCATGAGATCTGGTAGTTGAAAAGTGTGTCACACCTTCCCCTCTCTCTTTTCCTCCTGCTCCAGCCATGTAAGCTAAGCCTGATTTTCCTTTGCTTTCTACCATGATTGAAAGTTTCCTGAGGCCTCCCCAGAAGCCGTCATGCTTCCTGTAACGCCTGCAGAACCATGAGCCAATTAAGCCTCTTTTCTTTATAAATTACTCAGTCTCAGGTATTTCTATATAGTAATGCAATAATAGACTAATAGACATGGGGATAACAATTAAGAATAGTATGGAAGAAGGAGAAATGAAATATGAAAAGGTAAAGAGGATGCCAGAGAGTTCAAATTCATTTAATAAATTGGCAAATGATATAAAAAATTAATACTGCTAGAAAATGGGAAACATGTTGTAATAGTCCATTCGTACATTTTATAAAGAAATACCTGAGACTGGGCAATTTATAAAGAAAAGAGGTTTAATTGGCTCATGGCTCAGCAGGCTGTACAGGAAGCATGGCGGCATCTGTTTGGCTTCCGGGTTAGGGCTCAGGAAACTTGCAATTACGGCAGAAGGCAAAGTGGGAGCAGTCTTACATAGGGGAGAAGGAGCAAGGGAGAGAGGCGAGAAGTGCTCCACACTTTTAAACAACCAGATCTCATGAGAACTCACTCACTGACTATCACGAGAACAGCACCAAGGTGATGGCCCTAACCCATTCATGAGAACTCCGCCCCCATAATCCAATCGTCTCCCACCAGGCCCCTCCTGCCACTTTGGAGATTACAACCTGACAGGAGATTTGGTGAAAACACAGATCCAAACCGTATTACATGTATTTTAAAATATTATCCTCCATGATTAAGGGAGACGTCAATTAGTAAGTGAGCTTTAGAAAGAAACATCAGGGAATCACACATCCGGAGATTCACCCCACTTTCAAGTGTCCTTGACATTCACCTTCGCGATGTCTATCCCTGAGTAACTGCAGAAAATCACTTCAGCTGTAGAAAATCAGTCCACATATATATTTCTTTAATTTGTAATTATGAAAGCATAATTATTCACAATATTGTGAAATGTTGTTGCACAAATGAATACTTGTAGGGATAGCGGGTATTGCACCCAGCCAGGCTTCTTACCAAGCTTTTCGACTTATTTTCTCACCTCAAATATATTTCTCCCCCTATTCTTAGCCAATATTCCATGTTAAATCTCCAAACATACCCACCTTTACTTTCATTATTTCCTTCTTTACTTCTGTTTTAATGGAAGAAGTATTTATTTCAAAGGTCAATCATCTTACTTGAGCTGTGAATCCTATTTCCTTTTACTTTCTCATGGACTTAATTCGTTTTGGTATCATTTCTCTCTCCTGCATCAGAAATTTTCTCATTTTTAACACATCATTCTCATTATTTTAGAAAAATGGCCCGGTATCTCCAGCATTTGAAAACAAAGTCCCTTAACCTCTTCAAGTTTCCCCAATGACAGCCCTACTTTTTGGTAGACAAGCTTCTAAGAACCACTGTCTATATTCACCTCCTCTTCCCTTTTACCCACATTCACACTTTGCCCCGTTGAAGTCTAATTTGCTACTTGCCACTCAACTTAAACTGCTCTTTTTGCAGTGCCCAAATTTTTGCCATGTTCATAGACTATTCTCTGTATTCATCTATTCTTAATCATTATGTTATTTAATACAGTCCATTATTCTTATATTCCACTCTCTAACAGGTAATAGATCACTTTTCTTCTCCTCTACCTAGACTCTGAATATCAACATTCCTCTTCTTTTTTTTAATTCTCAGCTTGTCTCTCTCATTATACTTTTTTTCTTTTTTTTTTTTGAGACAGAGTCTCACTTTTGTTGCCCAAGCTGGAGTGCAGTGGCATGCTCTCGGCTCACTGCAACTCTGCCTCCCAGGTTCAAGCAATTTTCCTGCCTCAGATTCCCAAGTAGCTGGGATTACAGGCGCCCGCCACCACGCCAAGCTAATTTTTGTATTTTTTATTAGAGGCGGGATTTCTCCATGTTGGCCAGGCTGGTCTTGAACTCCCGACCTCAGGCGATCCACCCGCCTCAGTCTTCCAAAGTGTTGGGATTACAGGCGTGAGCCACTGCACCTGGACGGATCACTACACTTTTTCATAAAACTCAGTGCCCATGACTTTCAAATCATTATGTACCCCAGTTTTCTTCTTTGTATTAGAAAAGTGCACATCTACCTAGCTCAGTTTGACTTTCTCGATTGGATAGAACATTTTTCAAATTTAAAATATTCAAAATTAAATTATTCATTTTACAATATTTCAGCTCCCCTGCTTAAGAACTTCCAAATTCACTTCTAGACTCCCCAGTAAGTTGGTCTTCCCTTCTCAGTAAATGGATACCACCATCCACCAAATTGCTTAAATCAGCAATCAGGGAATCTTTTTTATTCATCGCTTTTGTTTACTCTTCTTATAGCCCATTAATAAAAATAAAAATTAATAAAATAATAAAAAATACTCTTCTTAAAGCCCATTATCTTTTGTAATTTCTATTTCATAATTTATCTTCAATCTTTTTGTTTCATCATGAGTCTTTTTAACCTAATTTCATCCATCATCTTCCCAGAGTTACTATATCTTCTTTCTAACCCTAACTGGCCTTCCCACTTTCACTTGTTTCCTCTACCATTTCCTTTGTCAAAAGCAGCAAGAATGACCTTTAGATTTTCAAATAAAACATCATTTTTCTGCTAAAAATGTATTTCAGTGTTATTAGGATGAATTATATTTTTTTGAAAATCTGACAGCAACCTATATTTCATTCTCATGTCAAATATTTGCCACCTTTGCCATCTAGGCACACCATTCTCTTTCCAGTTCCTTTAACATAAAAATTATTTTCCAACTCAGGACCATCGCACATGCTATTTCTGCATCCAGGATTACTGATAGCCTCAGTCTTCACTTAGCTGCCTTCTTATTACCTGTTCCTTTTTTATCTTAAATATTATCTCTTCAATGAAGCTTTTGAGAATTATTCTATAAAAAGATAATTTTTATTTGTGTCCAAAGCATTCAAGTATGCATTGTTTCTATCTACTTACCTCAATTTACAATTTCTGGGTTTTTTTTTTTGCATTAGATGGTAAAACAGAGTCCACATTTTTTTTATTCACCACTAATCACCAGAATTTGATATAGTAGCTGAAATACACTAGGTATACAGTAAATATTTGTTTCATGAATAAAATGTGAAAGAATGAAAAATTATTGAATAAAGAAGATTAATATGTTCAACATAAAATGCTCAGAAAACAATTTTTTCTTATTTATACAATACAAATTAGATACAATTTAAGAGAGTTTTCCTATATCAAACAAAAGACACATTCATATGAACACCTAAATACCATATTTTATCCTTATCCAGTTAGTTGTATAGAGGATTTTGCCTGCATACTGGTCAAATAAAAATACAAATTAACAGGGAAATTATTCCATCAGAAACTTGTAGGAAACTTTCAGGCCTATGTCTGAAGAGCCCAAACAGAACACTAACCCCTAAGTACTCTCATTTTTGCAAACACAACACACACACACACACAAAAACATGCAATAATATGATATGTATATCAATGACCTGGAAGAGGAAGTAAATGAGATAACAACGTTCATAATCAGCTATTGACATGCAATTACTCAAGTTAAGTAAAACAAGTCAGACTTTTGCATAACCCTGGCAAGAGCAAACAAAGGTGGGTAATTGGTACTGGGTGGCAGATGATTCATGGTAGACTCATTCAAGATATCATACATTTAACAGAACAATGTAAATTATGTGTACATACTAATAGTTTCTAAATTAGTTGTAATCCCCAAAGAAAACATCCAGGTATTGATGTGATCAACTCAATGAGGATGTCAACTCAATGTTTCATTGTAGGCAAAAAAGAAAAGTAAAATGTTAAGTTGGGTTAAGATTATAGAAACTCATCGTGGAAAATATTCATTTAGTAAATAAACTAATAACCATCGACTACACTGGGAAATGTATTTCTTGGAGGTAATATCATGACAAAATCATCTGAAACTTCTACTTTAAACAATGTTAGTGGTTTGAATTTATGTCAGTACTTTTTTAGGAACATGATTATTTAAGAAGCTATAAATTGTTTGACAAAACCAGAAAATAAATAAGGATTCTTTATTAATGCACTGCAAATTAGAAAAAATATAAGGGATTTTGGTATATCATGCAAAATATGTATTCATAGGAATACCTAGATATTGTACACAGTTCTCTGATGATCTACTAGTGTCAGAAAAAAAAAAAACTTACTGTATCTGAGATCAGGTAATGAAGTAAAGAATAATATTCCTACTATTTATGGGGAGGAAATGCAATCAGATGATAAAGACAGTTGTTAAGCATGATGTGAGTTTGATGAGGATGGTATGAGGCAAGCAAATGCAGTTTAGAGTGTTATTTATCTCAGGCTATCTTTCTTTACTTTTTTATAATTGTTTACCCATTTTTTCAATAAAATGTGAGCAAAAAGAGAGCTGTGAGGCTGTAGCTACATAATTGTGAAACAACTGATGGAAAGCTAAAGTGGTCCCATAACTACCATATTTTCTCTTATTCAAGAAATGATAAAATCATATAGTAATTATTTGCTACTGACTCATCTTTTCCACTGTACAATTAGCTATTCAAAAGGAAAACTCAATATTCAGTAATGCATACCTAAGGCTCCAGGTTTTGGCATTTGATGATCAATAAATATTAGCTGGATGGATGAATGAATGAATGAAATCACTTGCAAATGAATGAATTGGTTTATGTGCAATGGAGCAAGGAAAAAGTATCACTGCTTCCTGGGGAAAGAAACTGCATTCTACAATGGATGAATTAAATAGCTTGGAATTAAACAGCTATATTATAGCTATGTTAAATATAAAATATTAGGTAAAAGTATTTTGATAACCAAACAAATTTTTAAGCTCTCTACTTGCTTTTTTTATCAGTATGTGATTTCCTTGAAATATTTGTTCTATAACCGTTGCATTCATAGCCATACGGAGTTATAGAAGCTATGGATTAATGAGCGAGGGGAACATACCCAGTCCTTCCAGCATGGATCTTAAAAGCAAGCAGTAGAAATTGAGTGAGTCATTAGAAATGTGGTAACTCTTGCCAGGAGAGAAATATAGGTTAATCTATAAACGCATAGCAAAATCTATCCTAGTTTTGGGAGTCAGGAAATGTTTCTCTTATATTCATTACAGTATGGGATTCAAAGATAGGCAAAATCAGGTGAGCTGAAGTTTTAGGAAACAGAATGTCCCAAGACTCTTTTAGGAAGACTGGCACATTGGTAAAATTGGAGTCTTGTAAGAAATAACTTAGAGTGGTACTGCAAAACAGAGCACAGACAGAATTCTGAACATATATAGATTTGTAAGCCACTTTGACATTTTCGAACTTGACTTTTGGATGAAACATTGAGCATTCTGATAAGGAGAGTTAACATTTTCTGGTTTGTGTTTATATAAAAGATGATTTTAAATGACTCATGCAGAATGGACTTGAATAAGCATGCCAAAAGTAATAGAAATTAGAGGGTTATTGCATTCACACCACACAAAATAGAACATGACAGACTTAGGTGCAATGTAAACTGCATAATAATCACAGTGGAATATAGGCTCTATCCACTTTTAATGCCAAATACATAGTAGTTATTATGAAGCCTTCTGGAAGATATACTTAATATAATAATCTTCTGGCTTGATGACGTGATGAAGTGGCACCTAAAAATTACCATTATTTACATACTTTATCCAGAGTTCTACCATTTACCTGTTGATTATATCACTTCCCTATGAAGCTGCCATTATATTGATTCCTCAGTTCTGTCAAGCCACCAATCAATTCAGACAATCTTGTAACATTTTTCACTAATTTGTCTGGTTGTTAATCAAATTGATTTGCTATCATGGCCTCTTGGTGGTATTTTATTTGTTTGTTTGTTTATTTTCTTTTCTTTCATTTTGATGAAGACTTAGAGTGGCTATGCTCTTATACAAAAGGGAATAAAAACAAACATGTGAAATGTGTCCCTGTTCTTAGACCCATGAACTGGAAAACATTGGGGCATCAACAAGCCCAGTTTCCCCTTCAGGTTGCATCCTCTTCTGCCATTCTTCTACATACTAATATTTTCCACCATTTCAATACCCTCAATTATGGTAATGGCTACCAGGAATGTAAACTTATGGTAAGACATGTTATTTGCTTCCCATTATAGATATAATAACAAATTTGCTTCACAGATAGAGAGAAGCATATCACTTTCTAAAAAGCAAGCATTGCCCTGTTCCCTCATGAATAAAAATATGTTCTAGTAGTAGGCTGCCAAGAGTTACACTATATTTCCTTAGGATTAGAGGCATTTCATTTTTGATAATGTACTTGGAAGATAAAATGCATCAGAAAACTCTATTCCTTAAATTTATCATTCACACGGTTGGCCTATCATGGTTAGTCACATAATTCACAGACTGATTAAGTGCAAAGTGAATGAATCATGTAACCAAATATTTTCAAGGAAGTGTGTGAACAATAGAGTTAATCAATAATGTGCCCAAACTTACTTTACTAGCTATTAGCATGGTATTCTTTATTACGGCAAATGGTAGAAAATCTATATTTGGAGGTCATTCAAAATCAGAGATCCAGGGCCAGTCTTAGGCCAAACTGTGAGGAAAATCATTTTTTCTTTTCAAATTTCTAGAATTTCTAGATTTGTTCCAAATACTCTTGGCCCTTTTAAAATGACATTTAAGTCCCTAGAACCTAATTTTAAAAGACTAATGGAAATTTATTGTATTTCAGGAAATGTACGCCTTTCTTTTCCTTTTATAAAATTAATAATAAAAATGTTTTCTAAAAACTCATTTGTTATTTAAAATTTTACTAAAGATTCATCACGAAGGTGACCCACGAAATTCAAGAGTATTTAAGAAACTGTGAAATGCTAAAAAGACTATGAAGAAACCAACTTCAATATTGTCTTGTTCATAACCCTTTAGCACTGTGAAGATTTAGCAGTCTTCTTCATTAATACTGTTCTGTCTGAATTGCTTTGTCTGTCATTTAAATCAAAAGGCTTCCGAGATATAAAACCATCTTATTCTGCCTATTGAAAAACACCAAATGGGCTGCCAATTCTTGTAAATAAATAATCGTGAATGTCTGCAGGAGACAGGCTCATCTAGTACTACCTGTGCTTTTAAAGAAATAAAAATTCAAAGGCATTTATTTCAATTACTCAAACAAATTTCTTCATTGAAATTTGACCAATTTTGACATTTCTAGAGAAAGACAGCATTTATATTTTAAACATAAGTAGGTAAAACAGAAAACAAATTGGAATAAAGCAAAACACAAATAAATAAAAAACAATAATCCTTGTTCTTGTCATGTTCAGGAACTGCATTATTCAGGCATTTTACCTATAGAAGAACTAAAGTTGCCTTCCAAGAGTCCTTGCAGATGTTATCCAAGACAGAAAAGATATCCCATATCCCAGTAACCATAACACCTCAGCAATGTTAGTGAATTTCTATTTATTCTATTCCAAATACTCCAAGGTCTTTCAACCTGGTGCTTCACCTATTGCCTGACTTTGCATTGCAAGAATGCCGGCCATCTTTGAACTGATTTGCATCAAAAGCATGACGTTGAAAAGCTCTCATTCTTAATTATATCATAGCTTTGAGGCTATAAATATGGTCAATTATAAACAAAATTGTGACATAGGTAAACTCAGCTTACCAAAGATTTATATGCCACTTCACTTCTTGGTTTTTTAAAACCCTCCCTGGTGTAGATTATTGCTGGTCTACTCTTCCTTGTAGAGTTAAAAGCTACAGGCTTTTATTTTTTTCTTAAAAGTAAGTCATTTAACATAATTGAGATTATTCAATGATAATCATCTTACATTCTGGTTTTTATATCTTGACCTTTTCATATGACCAAGTATTCAAATATATGATTATTAATGGTTATTTCACTGGCATCATAATATTGGTTATTCACTATATTTATATATTTAGCTTTTTAATCGATATTTCACAACATACATATCTTTCTATAAATATCTTTGTGCATTTAGTTTATTTTAGAGAATAGCACCCATGACATAGACTTACAGTGTCTTAGTCAATTTTCTGTTGCTATAACAGAATAGCACAGACTGGGTAATTTATTTTTTAAAAAAGAAGCTTAAGTTTACTTAGCTCACAATTCTGGAGGCTAGGAAGTCTACGACCATGGTATTGTCATCTGACAATGACCTTCATGCTCCATCATAACATGGAAGAAGGTATTCACATCATGAGAGAGTAAGACAAAGAGAGCCAGAGTGAGCACACTTTTATAACAAATCCACTCCTGAGATAGCAACATTAATCCATCCATGAGGGAGGACCAAACATTAACATATTCATGATGGCAGAGGAACAAACTTTCTAAAGCATGAACTTTTGAGGGACTAATTCAAGCCATAGCATTCCACCACTGGCCATCCAAATGTATGGTCTTCTCACACGCAAAACACATTAATTTCATCCCAATAGCCTGAAAAATTTGTCATTCCAGTACTACTAACTAAAAAGTCCAAATCTAGAATCTCATTGAAATTAGATATAGGTGAGATTCAAGGCATGATTCATCCCATGGCAAATTCCCTCCAACTGTGAACCTGCAAAATCAAATCAAGCTATCTACTTCCAAAATACAATGGTGGGACAGGCATAGAATAGCTATTCCTATTCCAGAAAAGAGGAAAAGGCAAGAATAAAGGGGCTACTCGTCCCAAGAAAGTCCAAAATCCAACAGGGAAAAGAACACTAAACCTTAAAGCTTCAGAAAGATTATTCACTTTATGTGCTGTATTAGTCAGGGTTCTCTTGAGGGACAGGACTAATAGGATTGATGTATATATGAAAGGGAGTTTATTAAGGAGTATTGACTCACATGATCACAAGGTGAAGTCCCACAATAGGCCATATGCAAGCTGAGGAGCAAGGAATCCAGTCCCAGTCCCAAAACCTCAAAAGTAGGGAAGGTGAGAGTGCAGCCTTCAGTCTGTGGCCGAAGGCCCAAGAACCCCTGGCAAATGACTGGTGCAGCTCCAAGAGTCCAAAAGCTGAAGAACTTGGAGTCTGATGTTCAAGGGCAGGAAGCATCCAGCACAGGAGAAAGATGGAGGCCAGAAAACTCGGCCAGTCTAGTCCTTCCACGTTCCTCTACCTGCTTTAGGGTGGGTCTGCCTCTCCTAGTCCACTGACTCAAATGTTAATCTCCTTTGGCAACACCCTCACAGACACACTTAGGAAAAATGCTTTGCATCCTTCAATCCAATCAAATTGACACTCAATATTAACCATCACATATGTTGTCTCCTGAACGCAGTGGAGATTTGGGCTCCCAAAGTCTCAGAGATCTCACTCTTATGGCTTTGCTGGACTCAGCCCAAGTAACTCTTCTCACAGGTTGGAGTCTCATGGTTGCAGTTCTGTAAAGCTGGCATTGTATGTGGGTAGCTGTACATTTCTAGGGTCTTGGGATGGCCCTCCCCTTGGGGCTCCACTAGGCATTGCCTTTGTTGGTTCCCCTTGTAGTAGCCTGGATCTAATCCCACATTTAGGCCCAGGCTCTCTCTGATGGCTCTGCCCTTGTGACAAGTCTCTGCCGGGGCCCCTAGGTGGCCTGAGTCCCTGGGTGACATCCTTTAAAATCTAGATGGAGAGAGCCATCCACAGCTTTTGCATTCCGCATACCGACAGGGTTAGCACCACATGGATGCCACCAAGGTTTATGACTTGTGCCTTCCTAATCAGGGGATTGAGCCACACACCTGCAGCCATTTGAGCCATTGCTCGGGCAGCCAAGGAGCACTGCACCAGAATGCAGGGAGCAGAAACCCAAGGCAACCCTGAGCGGTGGCCCATCCTTCAAAACCATTCTGCTCTTCTATAGCTCTGGGCATATGATGGGCAGGGCAGCCTCAAAGATCTCTGATAATGGCTTTCAAGTTTTTCTTCCATTGTTCTGATGAATTGCCTTTGACTTTCTTTTATCCATACTAATCTCCTTATTAATCAATTGCTTCATCACACCGTTGGAAGAAAGATAATTTTTCTTTTTCATCCTCTATCACAAGGTCAGCCTGAAAATTTTCCAAATCTTTTCTCTATGTTCCCCCTTTTTTCTTTTTTGTATAAATTCTGTTCTTAAACCATCTCTTTTCTCTTATTCTACTATAAGCAGTTAAAAGTAGCCATGCAGTTTTGCTGCTTAGATATTTCTTCTGCCAAATAGCCTAGTTTGTCACTCATAAATTTCACCTTCCATAAAGTCGCTGGGTAGCAATACAGTTCAGCTGATTTCCTTGCTACTTTATAACAAGTATAGCCTTTGCTCCAGTTCTCAATACCTTGTTCCTCAGTTCCATCTGAGAGCCCATCAGAATGGCATTTACAGTCCATAGTTCTATCAACATTCTAGTCAAGAATACTTAAGTAATCTGTTAGAAGTTTCAATTCTTCTCTGGACTTATCTTCTAAAACTTCACCAGAATCACCCTTAACTCTCCAATCACAATACAGCCTTTTTCTAGCCTGTCCTCCAATTCTTTCAGCCTCCAAATTCTTCCAGCCTCTGCCCACTACCCATGTCCAAAGCCACTTTCACAGATTTTGGTATTTGTTGAAGCAACAATACCACTTTTCAGTACCAATTTCCCGTCTTAGGTTATTTTCTATTGCTATAAGAGAAGACCATAGACTGAGTAATGTATTAAAAACAAAAAAAAAATCTTTAGGCCTGGCATGGTGGCTCACGCCTGTAATCCCAGCACTTTTGGAGGCCGAGATGGGTGGGTCAATGAAGGTCAGGAGTTTGAGAACAGCCTGGCCAACATGGGGAAACCCTGTCTCTACTAAATATACAAAAATTAGCCAGGCATGGTGGGGGGTGCTTGTAATCTCAGCTACTGGGGAGGCTGAGGCATGAGAATTGCTTGAACCTGGGAGGAGGAGGTTTCAGTGAACCAAGATCGTGCCGCTGCACTCCAGCCTGGGCAACAGAGCGAGACTCCATTTCAAAAGAAAATAAGTGTATTTAGCTTATGGTTCTGGAGTGTGGGAAGTCCAAGAGCACGGTGCCAGCATCTTGCAACAGCCTTCGTGCTGAGTCATAACATGGCAGAAGATATTCATATGGCAAGAAGGCAAAAGGAAGACAATCAGAGAGAGACAACACTTTTATAACAAAGCCACTCCTACAATAACAAACCTACTTTCATGATTGTGACATAATTTATTCACGAGGGCAGAGTCCTCATTAATCCATTCATAAGGGCAAAGGATTTAAGTTTCCAACACAAGAATTTTGTGGAGACACATTCAAACCATTAGATATAAAATCAGAAGAATATATTTCAACTTATTTCCAAAAATTGTACACTTATACATGTAGCATATGAAGATGAAATGTTAATTGGTATTTCCACAGTATAATATTCCTACAAGTATAAATTATTACCATATCTTAGCTCAAAATGAAAAATACAAATTATAAAAATTTTTTGGTGTATTGGCAGATTAATGAACAACAATCTTGACAGAAATTCGATACCTTTCATGCCAATTTTAACTATACATAGAAGCTGAGTTTATCTCATCCATTCAACCATTTTCAACTCAAAAGAAGAATTCCATATATCTAAAGTTTCAACTTACTATATATGTTTTTATGTCAAGAAAACCATATGTTTGGTTGTTATTAGATGGTATGATGCCACTTTAAATGTAATTAAGTTGTAAATTCCCCTAATATGAAGATATGCCTTATTGTATTATCAAATTGTATTTTCTTGAATTGGGGAAATTATACAAATGCTGATGCCTGCCTACCATAGCCCAGAAATTTAGATTTACTTGTTCTGAGAGGGGAAACGACACAGGCTTTTTTTTTTTTTTTTCAGTGCTACCCATGTGTTTATATTTGGCAGCCATGATTGTTGAAAATTACTGCTTCAAATAAAGAAAGCTCTGTGTGTGGGATATATGTTTGCATGTGTGTGTGTTGTGTGTGTGTACATGTGCAAGTATATATGTATACGTGTGGGTTAAAACAAGTAATGGCATGTGACTGATACCTTATACATAATTCCTGGCTGTAGGGGCTGCAGTTCTGAATAATTTCTCTAAGAAGAGACAATGACATTGGAAAACTTTCATAAGGAAACAAAATTGATAACAAGAGTACTGGAGACAACATGTGAGAAACAGATAATATTTTATTTTCAGAACTGGCTAAAATATTTTTATCTTATGAAGGTTAATAGTTACCACAGTTACCAGAAAGCACGTGAAAATATCCCTTGATAAAAATGCTTTCATATGTTTATGTCACACAAATCCAAAACTCGTTCAAGTTTATAAGAAAAAGCTTTATCAAGAAAGTGTTAATTATTAGTTATATTATCAGCATTATTTTACTCAAAAAGACAGAAATAAAGCAAAAATTATAGATGAGATTATTTTAAAGTATAATCCAACTTATTTTTATTTATTTATTTATTTATTTATTTATTTATTTTGTAACAGAATCTTGCACTGTCGCCCAGGCTGGAGTGCAGTGGTGTGATCTCGGCTCACTGCAACTTCTGCCTCCGGGGTTCAAGCAATTCTTCTGCCTCAGCTTCCTGAGTAGCTGAGATTACAGGCGCCCACTACCTCGCCCGGCTAATTTTTTGTATTTCTATTTGTAGATTTTTGCTGGTTAAAAAAGGTTGTCATATTTAACCTTTTTTATAAGTACAAGGCCTGGTAGTATCTTATCTTTGATTCCATGTAATGTTATGAAATTGACACACAAACACATAAACATACAAATGACTCTCATGATCCAGTTCTCTCCTTTACATTTCTTTGAAATAATTCAGATTATTATTATTTAAATTATACTTCAGATATGACTTTCTCCTATGCAATATGCACAGGCTAAAAATATATAGTTTCTAAATCAATCACTATATTTGCCTTGCTTTACTAATACCCCATAGGGGCAGGAAAAAATATTTTAAATTCGTAGTGAAAATGAATTGATATTGTCAAAGCAAACTGGAAAAAATATGCTGGGAAATTTCTATTGTAAAAGCATCCAATCCCATCTTTAGCATAAGTTGCCTGATTTATTTAAATAATAGTGCTTGTATTTCATTTTATCTTTTGTATATTAGGTTTAAAATATGTTATTTGTTTAGAAATAAGTTATTGTTATATACTGTTGGAGACATACCTTTTACTTTAACAGGTGCAGTTGTATGATCATTTATAAAAATATATTGGAGAATATTTTAGAAATATATTTATGATGTTAAAGGTCTTAGTTCTGATTCACTATTAAGATATCAGAATGATCCCATGTTACTAATTGATACTCTAAATCAAGTGTTGGCAAAACTTTCAGTAAAAGTTCAGATTTTTTGCTTTGTGGGCTACACAGTCTCTGTGGCAACTCTGTCATGGTAATATAAAAGTAGCTATAGATAATAAGTAAATGAATGGCCGTGTGTTGCAAAAAAAAAAAAAAAAAATCACTGTTCATAGAAAGAGATTGTGAGATGAATTTTACCCAAGGGCTATCATTTGCCTTTTCTATTTCAGGACAGTTTTCCTCTGTGTGATGAATCAGTCACCCAGACTACTTTAATATAGTGGTTACCCCTTTCAAATGAGACAACCATGTTTACTGTGGTAGAGAGACAGATGGCCAGAGGGTCATGCACTAACTCTTGTATACTTTGGCCAAAAAGTGTCATATGTCCCTTCTGCCCACAGCCCATTGACCAGAACTAACCACATGGCCTTACATAATTGTTAAAATGCTAGGAAATGTGAAAACAGATGGAATGTTAAGTGAGCATGATGTCTCTGCCACACTAAAGAATTACAGATAGTAATTAGTATGGAGATAATTATAGATAGCAATCAGCAAAGTATATATTTGTTATATAAGTAACAAGTTGCCCAAATAAGTATTAAGAAATGGATTTTATCCTGTGTTTGTGATTGTACGGGCTGTTAATAATCTTTGCAGTGGTATGAAATAGCCAAAAATGAAGGCAATACATATATAGAAAAGAGGCATGCTTTTTGACCTGTAACTTAAAAAAGCATTGTTCAGAAGGTATATTGAAGAAAAGTTGCATTTGTGGAAATATCATTTTGATGAAAGTTTTGTATCTGAAAGATCAAATGCAGTCCAAAGGATTGTGATTTTTAAAGACCCGTAGACAAGGTAGTGGTCACACTAACCACTCCACCATAAGCTACTGTGAGAAAAAGAACACCGAAGGCCACATTTAAGAAGGAATCAACACAATCAAGCAGATCAAAGAAGAGCTAGGTCCAAATCAGACCAAAGATACAGAGTCTCTACATTGCTAAAGTTGTTTTTAATCATTACTTAAGAAAACAAAATTACAAGTTAACATCTGAACTAATATAGATATACAAATATAATATATACAGTATAAACCGGAAGGTATCTGAGACAAGTCTTAAACAATTTAGGAAGTTTATTTTGTCAAGGTTAAGAACATGCCAGTGAAGGTCTTAGGAGTCCTGATGACATGTGCCCAAACTGATAGGGGTACAACTTGTTTTTATATATTTGAGGGAGACATAATATATCAATCACTTGTAAGATTTACGTTGGCTTGATCTTGAAGGGCAGGACAACTCGAAGCAGGGGCTTCCAGGTCATAGGTAGATTTAAACATATTTTGATTGGCAATTGGTTGAAAGAGCTATTAACTGTAGAAAGGAATGTCTGGGTTATGATAAGCCGTTGTGGAGACCTAAGGTTTATCGTGCAGATGAAGCTTCCAAGTAGCAGACTTTAAAGAAAAGACTGTAAATGTTTCTTATCAGACATAAGGTAAGTGTTGATGTTACTGCTGGAAGGATATAATGAGACGTGTCCAACTCCCGTTTTCCGTCATGACCTGAGCCAGTCTTTCAGGTTAAATTTTAGAGCTCCCTGTAGAGGAGGAAGTCCATTTGAATGGTTGTGGGGCGTGGGAGGATCTATGAATTTCATTTTTGTTTATAGCAGTATCATATTTATGGTGTGTACTACATATATATCCCTGTTTATATTAGTTTTTTAGTTATATATGTATGTGTATACACATATATATGATGCTATTTACTACAATGTAATAATACTGCTTCTAAATATTAAATATTATAATATGTCACCACTAGAAGCCTATTTTATATAATATGCATATCTCTTAAGCCATTTTCATTTTTAGAGCCAGTAATAGAGCCATAACTATCTTCCTTTCAATATTATGAAATACACTTTTGTAAAGTCCTGAATTTGTGTCTTGTGACTTCGAGCCTTCAGGTCTTTGGTTTTAATACACTCAAATATGACATGGTCACTTATTCCCAGAGATCATTTTGCTTCCACTCGCAATTTTCTTTACTCATCATAATAGCGTCCTGAGTTGCAATTCCCCATATTGATTTCTCTACGTTTTTCATGATGCAAGATTTAATAAGGCAAGTCAAGAATTTTATCAGATGTTCTGTTCTTAGCAGAATAAGGCTTCTGACAGATACAGCCCTCCATCATTACTAATATTGATACGTTGCCTGTTTTATGATATGCATTAGGGAAGCATTTTGCATATTGTTTGTCTATCCTAGCACTCTGTAGCATATTTTATTTCTGCTTCTCTCATCTTTTACTCTCCACCAAAAGGTTTTCACTGAAAGTCCACTTTTCTCTTTGTGAATTTTAATTCAAAAAACCATCTTTTTGACATACAGTCTTTGTAGTAGGAAAACCATCATCTTGGAATCAGATCGGCCCAGGTCCACATCTGGACTCTAAAATTTAACTGTTGGGTATCTTTTGACAAGTTGCATTAACTCTTTGAGCCAATATTCTTTATCTAAAATCACAATTATATTTTTATTAAAAGATCTTTACACAAGTATTTATGTATTTATCTGTACTAATTTAGAGTTTTGCAACTTTTCTTTTTCAAACTAAAGTCTACTGTTAAATATATGTCTTAAAGAAACTTTTCAACTTTTCTAAATCCTTGAGTTTTATAAAATTCTAGGTGTATTTTCTTATCAGTTGCATTGGAGAATATGATGCTTGAAATAAAAAGAGAACAGCCTAAGCTTCAAATTACCAATTATTATCAATCTATTCTGTCCTGTTTTTGGAATAAGAATAAATGACAATTGCTAAGTTCTGTTTGGGAGGATAATGAAAGGCAAATTATACATGGCCCTTGTTTACAATCTAAGTTAGAAACTTTACTTGCATATTTAACTTTTGTAAGAAAATTTTTTTCTGAGCCCATCTCTCCATTATTTAACAATAATATTCATAAAATTAGAAACATAGGATTTTAAAACTACTCAAATAACTTACTGCCTTTTTCATATTTGCCCCTGGATAATTACTTGTGAGGCTTTAACTGAAGACTACTAAAGCCAAGGGTAATTCAAAGTCAAATAAATAGTCAGCTCATAACTCTTAAATTCCCTTTATAGGAAAGTAGTATACTGTATCTGTTGTTGCATAATTCTCAATAATGCTAAAGGTGGTTATTTGTATATCATGAGCAGAATAAGCCTTTTAGTGTTGGCTAATGCAGAGTTGAATGGCCATTAACCATTCATTTTTTGTGATGGAGAAATTGCATTTACACAACTTGTTGGATTTTTATTCACTCATTTGTCAAGTTTACTTCTTTAAGGTTGTCAGTTTTTCCTAGTTATCATCATTTGAAAAGTTGCTTGTGGCATAAGTTCATTAAATGTAGTATAGCCAAATGAAGCATATAGATAGCTGAAAATTCTGTCAAATATGATTTATGCAAAAATCTGGCTCTGTGCAATGGCATGATATTGTGCGCACTTGGCTATTATGTTCTCAATTTTTCTCCATATGAATTACTTTACAGTTTCTTAAAATATAAACTTCTTAGGCTTGGGAAGCCTCTAGCAAGACTTTATAAAAGTATAAAATATTCTCTTTACTCAGAAAACATGAGTATACACAATCCCTTTAAGCAAATCTTTCTTTTTCTTTACAGGATGATGCTGGTTAAGATCTATCAAATAGTCTTTTGATGAGTTCCAGAGAGGGCCCTCCATGCTGTCTTGAGTCAGCAGTTTTGTTTTGTTTTTTCCATCTTGCATATAGTATATCAGTCATGTCTATGTCAGATATTATAGTTTCGAGATCTATTTGACGATAATAGTTTCACTGTTATTTAAAATTCCTATTAGTTCTCTTCAAAGTAATGCTAGTCAGTCCTAAAATATGAACATAAGGAGATCTCATTGTGTAGAAAACAGGGAAAAATATGCAATTGATTAAAAATAGATTCTATAAAGAACACCTAAATAGAATATAATAAACAGAAGAAAAAATTGACCAGGTCTGCAAGATTTTGAATAAACTAGGTGATTTTTTTAAAAACCTCTTCAATATTACCTAAGCGAAATATATTTAATCACAATTTTTTTCAAAGTGGGGGGTAGGTGGCACGTATTGCAAGTTGCAGCAATAAGCAAACCCCAAATTGTAATATCGATCTAGTACAATAATTATTTATTTCTCACTCAAAGTCCAACATGGGATTTCAATATTTGCAGGTAACTCTCACACACATAGTGATCCAGGGACTCGGATTCTTTCCTTCTTAGGTTCCTGCCATCTTCAACACATCGTGGTCTGTATCAAGTCTGGAGCAGAGAAGGAATATGGATTGCAAGTGGGCATTTGCATGGACAGGGCAGGGATTGGAAATGGGTACTTTACCCCACTGACATACCTGTAGCTAGAACTCAGTCATAAGGCTGCACCTGGCTACAAAAATAGCCTGGAAAAGTAGCCTGACTTGTGCCCAAGGGAAGAAAAGAAAAAAAAGGAAAAGATAGGAGGATGAGCTAGCCGACTTTGACATATCGCTAATCAAACACAAGGAAAAACATACATACACACACACATGCATAGCATGTTCTTTCAATCAATCCAATAAAGGAAAACATTGTTATCTTTCTGTTATATGTATTTTCTGACTTAAAATGATACAAATACTATACAAAACGCAAGAGATTCTGGTTTGTTGTTGTTGTTGTTTTGTTTGTTTTTTTGAGACGGAGTCTTGCTCTGTCGTCCAGGCTGGAGTGCAGTGGTGCGATCTTGGCTCACTGCAGCCTTCTGCCTCCTGGGTTCCAGTGATTCTCCTGCCTCAGCCTCCCGAGTAGCTGGGATTACAGGTGGCTGCCACCACATCTGGCTACTTTTTGTATTTTTAGTAGAGACGGGGTTTCACCATGTTGGCCAGGATGGTCTCAAACTCCTGACCTCAGGTGATCCGCCCGCCTCAGCCTCCCAGAGTGCTGGGATTACAGGAGTGAGCCACAGCTCCCGGCCAAGAGATTTTCTTAATATGTTAACTTTAGGGTTAGTTTTTGACTGAGAAAAATATACCTATTATAAATGTTCATCGGTAGAAGTAAAATTTAAAAATATTTGCATCACTCTAGGGAATAATCAGCTATTAAAATAATGAAGTAGAGGTAAACGTGTTCTGTTTTATATTGATGTCCATGATAAACTGTTTACTAATGACAAAAAAGCTAACTACTGAAAAAAAATCATAATAAAAACTGTGTATATTTGTTTATATGGGAATATATATATATACAGTGATAAATGTCGAGATAAATATAATTTGATGCTAAAGTAGGGAGAGCAAGAAGGCAGACTTTCACTTTATAACCTGTGTATTGTTTGAGTTGATTATTTTTTCCCTTTCCTTAAAATATATCCTGTATTATTTGTGTAATAACAAAAAGAAAGAAAGAAATATTTGATTACAAAAGGAATTTCCATTACAAGAGGGGGGAAATTCAATTTATCAGTTTGATAATAAAACTTCAGAACTTTATACATAAATTGCCTGATAGGCAAGAAAAAGCTAATATGAGTGACTTACATATAAATTTATTGGGTGATATATTGATTTAGGGAGAATTTTTTTTTCTCTTAAATCTGGGCCCACATCTCAAATGCTGGGAGAGTTATCAGCGCTAAATTCTCTCTTGGAATGGTACTACTATTCAACATTGTCTCATTTTTAAAGCCCCTTAAAAATTACTCTAAAATTAGTAACTTCTACTCACTGTTGCATGAGTTGAGGCCCTAAGACCGCTTAAATTAAACTTTGTGATTATTTAAGTACTGCTTCCTAGATTTCTACCCTATTAAAGCCTAAGTGTATGCACATTTAGCAAAAATCTCAGATGAGTACATCACAGAGGCAAATCATAGAATCTCTGGTATAGATAGGATTTAACTCACCACAGAGGGTTGAAACTGAAACAGAACCAGGCTTGGGTTCGGGTGCCACCACATAGATGCTTCAGTTTTCTTTTCTGGAGAATTATACAATAGTTTTCTTCTCTTTAAATTGGGAACAATAGCGGCATCTACCTCAAAGGGGTGTTTGAAGATTAAATGTGATAATGCTTCAAAAGCATTTAGCGAAGTGCCAATCTCTGTTATGTCCGCTTGTATTGTTATTTTTGCTGTTGTTCCTGTTGTCTTTTGAAGATGCTGAGAAGGTGCCTGCATTGGCACCTAGGAGATAAGTAGCCAGAGCTGAGGGGAGAGATGGACTCCAAAGCTTTGCCTGCTTCACAAAGAGTCCACTATGCTTGCAGCTTTATCTGCTACTGTCACAGAAAATCTATTGGGATCTTCAGCTTAGATCCATTGTTCTATAAACATTTATTGGGTCGCTACTCTAGGCTAGGGACTTTGTATCTTGGGATTTACAGATGATTTAAGAGTTTTTGTGAATGAGTTTCTGCAGATCATTTGAATGCCTGGTAAAGGCCCTCCGGGCTACACAGAAAAGCAGCTTTCTGGGACAGAAAGGAATCAAAGCTTCTTCTCTGAGCTAGGAATGCTCTACCTTTGACCTCACATGACAGCCACCTCCTGAAATCTCCCACATGCCCTTTCTTAGCGCTCCAGGACAGACATGGAAACAGGAAGTATTTAGCATCAGTTCACTCAGACTTGCCCCCTTGGCACAAAATTACACACACACACCAGCCTTCCCAGGCTATCCAGTGTGACTCATTCACTATATGTCTGTTGTGTTGCAGGCACAATGCATAAGGAGATGCCTTTTAAGTGGACTGAACAGTATAGATGATCTCTTCTCACCAGTGTGATTGTATTACTGGTAAACTCTCACAAATGAACACTCACAGCCCCATGGACTGGTGTTTTTTCACCATTTGTTTTAATTTGTGGATTTCTATATTTGGTGGTTGTGTTTCATAGAGGAAAAGCAGAACAACACAACTGTAGAATCATTTTGATTGCATGTGATGAAAACATTGGAAAGCTACAGATATACAATATTCAGGTCAGTTTAGAATGTTAGTGTGACTGGCATATCAAAATCTAATCTTAATTAGAGCCTTGGAATGATTAAGCGGTCTAGAGAAGAAAGTAAAACAAGGGAATAAGCAGTCTTCCTAAGAATCAAATCATCACTCAAATACATTTTATCTAACTATCTGTACCTATAAACGCAGAAATGTAAGGTTATGTCATGTGAAAGCAAAATATTACATTTCATGAATATAGAGAAACCTGGTGTGAGTCCAGAAATGGGAAAATATTTATGCGTAGTTTTGTCTTCCTCTTTTATAATTAATTCACCATTAGACATGTAATTATAATTCAGAAATGGGCAAAATACACTCTATGGTTTTAACCATTGATAGATTTGTAAACAAAAGCATCTGGACTGAAATTTCTTCAAGGAAATATTTACATGCCAACAGTTTATCAAACTGAAAATCTGCACATGGGCATTATGTTAATGATAGTGCAAAAATGATTCATTCTGTGCCTCCTACTAGTTCACAAGGCACCAGATGTAAAAGAATAAAATTTAGGTGCAAAAGTGGAAAAGATGTGCTTTTAATTCTTTACCACCTTTCAGAAAGAACCATCATTATTTGGCTATTGTCATTCATTCCTTAAACTACTTCATATTACCTTATTTCTTGAAGGGGCATTAAAAGAAGTTAATACAAAATAAGATTAATTCCAAACCACAGGACTTCGGGGTTATGGAATACAAAGACAAACAACCATCACCAACAAATGCTATTATTTTGTTTCAATAACCTGGCAAAGCAAATGGCTGTATAGTATCCTGGTCTAGTATTTTCAAAATTTCGATGTTCTGCAAGTTTTTTCACTAAGAAGCTGAGAGAAGTAATGCCAGTTGATTTGCCTCCACCCCCATGAGGATGAGTGAGGGTGAGGATTAAAGAATGTGCACGGGTTACACTAGCAGAATTCCTTTCAGGAAAATAAGAGAAAAGAGTGAACCTACTAAAAATAAACATAGAAATATGCCAGGACACTAGAATGGAAAGAATAAAATTTTAGTTTGTGGAGACACATGG
Organism: Homo sapiens; assembly: GCF_000001405.40. Lineage (NCBI taxonomy): Eukaryota > Metazoa > Chordata > Mammalia > Primates > Hominidae > Homo > Homo sapiens. Next base: position 71,376,291 of record NC_000013.11, read on the forward strand.
CTTAAATATCATCTCTTCCGGGTTCATAATGTCTGTGTGATCTTGGACAATTACTAAATCCCCCTGAATCTCCATATAGTAAACTGTAAAACAGTGACATTCATGCAAGTCATACCACCAGACCCTGAACTAAGCATGTTTTTACTTCGTCTTCACATTCATCTCTAGTTGTATTATCTCCATTTCACAGATCGGGAAACCAAAATCACATACAAATTACTCACCTGCTCAATTCACAAAAACTAATAAATGACACAGTAGAGAATTGAAACTAGTCCATGCACTTGACCAGCATGCTATACCAGGGAAGTTCACTCTAGAAGAAAAAACAAACCTAGTTAATGGAATCAAGGAGCATGGTTATTGTGGAATCTGCATACAACATTCACTTGAGTTTGAATAACTGGGTAAAAGACAATTGAACCTTCTATTTTCTATCTTTCCTGGGTGAGATTGGTTTCAGAGCTTGGAGAAAAGAGGAACCAAAAGGTAATAGCTATATAAGTCAAGATCAAAAAATGGAGTATAGCCATGAATGGAATTAAGGGAGTGTTTCAAATAGGACTTTATGAAATTAACGAAGAAAAACAATTTATTTCATCTATTTATGAGGAAGCCTTCCATCAGCAAATAACAAGAGCAGCAACATCAAGCCCAAAAATGACTCAAATCATGAGGATACTTGTTGTACAAGTAACAAGAAATACAGGTAGAGTTTAGCAGCTCAGTGATGTCATTAAGGGCCTAGACTTTTTCCCTATGTTCTGGCATCCTAGATTTTTGACTTAATGACTTTTGCCTTATGGTTGCAATACAGTCACTGCACCTCTAGCATCCTCCAAAAAGAAAACAGGGATATGAAGCAAAACACTTTCTTCTCATCAATATTTTCCCTGCTATTTTGAATAAGAAGCCACAGGGAGCACATTTTTTCCTGTCACATTGGCCAGAATTTTGTCAAGTGCTTACTCCTGGAGTAATTTGACCAAAGGGGATTTGGGATCCCTAGAGTAAATGTACACTCATGGTTATTCCCAGGATACAACAATGGGACTGGAGAAAAACCTTCTCTTCCATAGGACTAAGGGATTTACACTCACCACCTACTTAAATATATTTGCTACAAACAGAAAATGAGGAGTGGAATGGCTGCTTCATAGCTGATGAGCAGTGTCTGCCACATGTAGTAAATATGCATCTTAAGTGATTATCCACAGAAGATGATTCTGTTAACAAGATAAAAAATATCAATGATGTCTAAGAGGTGTATTTCAATCCCTGAAAAAAAATAATATGCATATTTAATTTCAAAGCTGAAACATTAGCCGAAGTGTGGTAATTCTGTATCATCAGCTTCAAATAAATCAATGACAGTAGTCATTAGAGATGGTGTGAATCGTTCATTTTCTTTGTGAATTGTTCATAGTTGTAATTCAATAGAGAAAAATAAGAAACAACAATAATAATAACTTTTTATTAGTCATGCTGAAGTAGCAAACCAGTGGCATGGATAATTGAAAAGAGTGGATTATATGCATAATGATGAACTACTTAGGTTATTTGCCTTACTAGAGATCATTTTGCATTCCCAAAGCATATTATCACCTATTTATTTGAGGAAGTCGTCACTAAGCATCTTGAGTGAAAAGTCCTATAAATCTAGGTCAGAGAAGTTTCTACAGTTAAAATACAATACGATTGTAAAATTTACTATAAAGGTAAAGGTGAATATTGATTATGAGGAAGTGTCTTTGGTGAGCAAAGTCAATGAATGCCCTTTGGAATGATGGTAGATAATTTTAGAGAAGTTTGAAAACACAGGAAATTTATATCACTTGTTATAGCATAAATTTAGGAAGCATTTTTTAGTCTACCTTTATAAGAGTTCAAGGTACTTTTTCCAAGTTATACTTTATTATAAAGTTATGAGGGGTCCAGTAATTTTCTTAATAGGCTCATGGGCACATTTTAAGTCAAAAGTACACATATGCTAATACTGATTTCATCATTGCTATCACTGCCATTTTATTTTATATGCCTTCCCTTTGGACCACAACTATGTATAATGATGGTGGTAGCATTTGATGTCCTCTTAAGCTCATTTTATAAATTACTTGTTGGTCTTCTTATTTTTTTTTTACATGAGACATAACACCTATTTCCTAGTCAAGCCAGGTTGTCTGTATTATAGTGTACATTCTGTGGGACAGAACCTTTCTTCTCAGTTGTCTTCCTCAACCACTTAATTCAAGAGCTTTCATTTTTCAAAATAAACATGAGAATTATAACATAAATTGCTTCTGTATCTTTCTGTTATCTAGACTTCAATGATAGATGTTGCTTTTTGTGCATTACCCTCTTTTAAAAAATTACATTCATAAGCTGCTACTTGGATATTTACAAAATAAACCAAAAAGCAGAAATGGCTGCATTGATATTACTACACTACCCAAATATAAGAAAATGGGCTGGACTTTTTTCTCCTATTCTCCATCATTTGGATTTTGTTACTCTGAGAGGGACACTGGCTACATAGTTGCCAAAAAATGCACATGTAATTCCTATGTATTCTATGAGGAGATTGGTCATAATAATCTATTGTTTAAACCCAGGCACTTTGGATATTGGAAAGAGGCATTATTAATAAATTTTCTAGGAAAATAGGCATAAACCAAGACTGCCTTGGGTACAGCAAGACATATCATCACCCTAGAGATAAGTAACTAAAGCACTTGGTTCTTCTGTACTATTTACTAGGTTCCTTTTTTTATTGTTAAGAAGGCAAAATAGAATTGAAAAAATAGTCTTATGATTTAACTTCCTAATAAAAATCCATAGAGATCACACCATGCAATCATATGAAATGAAAGTGAAATCAAAAGGAGATGGAGATGTTTACAGCTTGGTACGGGAAAAAGAAAGCAAGGAGAAAACACAAGTCTTTAAATAGGATAACTTCACACAGCAGCACAAATGCGAGAAGAAAGCCCTGTTAAAATGTCCCTTGGCAGCAATGTTCTCATTTGCCAGAGGGCAGTTTGCCGTGGCCAAATGCTTTCTGATTCCAGTAAATCTACCTCCTCAACCATTTATGCGAGGATTTAGAGAAAAGGATTAGGAAGAAAACTACTTGGAACTGATCAAGAAATGAAACAATTCAAACATACAGTGCTTGTTTTGTCTCTGATTGAGAGGGAAGGGTAAAATAGTATTCCATATGGTAAACTCCACTCAATGAAATGCAGTACTAAATCTAGGAAATAAATTGTTTATGGTTGTGAGAAAACACTCGATGATTGGAACAACAGATTAGTTTCAAAAGTATGTGATTGCTCACTTCAAAGAATATGTGAGGGCTGAGGCCTGTTATAAAATGTTTCATAAGAATAAGGTAAGAATGACTCCCAAATGCATAACTCACCCCTGAAGCATGAACATCCTTCTGTGTTCTCCCATTTCAGGATGTTTGTAGATTTAAGATATCCAACCTGCCTACAGTTTTCTCCCTGAATGTTACATAGGGGAAACTTAAAAACCACAATCCTTGGTCATTGTCTTTTTCCTCCCAACTCTTAGGATCCCCACATCACAAGCTAATCAGGCAGCAGATTTGAATTCCCACTACTATGCTAGATTCAGTAAAGAAATACAATAAAAGTCAGATACATTATGCTTGTTTTCAAAAATCTGGCTCTTTAAATTAGGATATAAAACAATATAGATGAAATATTTGGAACTTGGTAAAGAGCTTAACTCTGTAGTATCAATTGCTCCTTGGTTCTGAAATAGCTTTAAGGAAAATATTGACTTGACAAGCCCGGAGGGAGAGGCAGCCCAAGGAACAAAGCAGAAAAAGAAGATTATTTCCAATAATTTTTTAACACATAGGAGGGAAGGGACAAAGAGACAAATCTAGAATCTCTTTTGACTAAAGTGAAAGGTTATGTATTAGTTGGTTTTCACACACCTGATAAAGACATACTCAAGACTGGGTAATTTATAAAGTAAAATAGGTTTAATGGACTCACAGTTCTGTGTGCTTATCATGTCAGAGGCAAAAAGCACGTCTTACATGGTGTCAGGCAAGAGAGAAATGAGAACCAGGCAAAAGGGGTTTCCCCTTAAAAAACCAACAGAGCTCATGAAACTTATTCACTACCATGAGAACAGTTCGGGGGGAACTGCCCCCATCATTCAATTATCTTCCACTGGGTCCCTCTCACAACACATGGGAATCTGGGGAGCTATAATTCAAGATGAGACTTGGGTGAGGACACAGCCAAACCATATAGGGTAAATATTGCCAAAAAGTGATATAAGAAGAAAAAATAATTGGTAAGTGAATGACTCACTTGCCAAAGTGAAGATTTGAAAAATCTTCAAATTTAATAAAGAAATAGACTCACTGACATAAGCAGTCACTACATTTTGTTAATTACATTCAAGAAAACTAAGCACTATCATAAATTATCCTGATATAGTATTAGATATTTAAATTTGGATAGTGAATAGTATAAATGCTATAATTACAAATAAATCTTTTTCTAGAATATGTCTTTCAATTTCCAATACTGAATTTCCACTGATTATTTTACATTTTTAATGTTTAAATTAAATTTTAATTTTTATCAATATAAGATATGCATCCTTATAAAAGAGTCTATATATTTCATTATCTTGTAAATTTATATATGTATATATGTATATGCCAGAACTAACCCCATCCCTCCCCAAACTTGTTTCCTATTAAGAAACAGAATTAGCCAGGTACAATGGCTCATGCCTGTAATCCCAGCACTTTGGGAAGCTGAGGTAGAAGGAACACTTGAGCCCAGGAGTTCAAGATCACTGGGCCAACCAAATGTGACCCCCATGCCTGTGGTCTCAGCTACACAGGAGGCTGAGGCAGGAGGATCCTTTGAGGTAGGAGGATCCCTTGAGACCGCAGTGAGCCACATTCCTGCCACTGCATTCCAGCCTGGGTGACAGACTCTGTCTCAAAAAAGAAAAAAAAAAAAAAAGAAACAGAATTAACATTGAAGCAGTTAATTTTAGTGTTTGGCTACACATTACAAAATAATATGTTTTTGATGTTGTGATGTCTTCTTTTGAAAATCTTATATATTATCTTTTCACCTCGTTTTTAACTACCTTACATCAAACGAGACGTTCGAATATACCTTTAGCCCTTTTACTCAGTTTATATTGCTCCTTTTGTAAAATTAACATTATTATTGATCTATACAAGTGCTACCTATAATTGTACCATGTGGCATAATATGACTGTGTATGCTTTCTTGTGTTCTTTTTATCTTTCCCAGAATTAGTAATTCTCTAATTTACTCGGATAACCTTTTATCACTAAGGCATCTCAAAACTAGACAACAGTATGTAAGCTTCTTTCATATGTGATCAAACATATCTGGTATTGTATCAGTTTATTTAGTTATTTATTTTTTAAAGACATCTCTGCTAGAGCTGCAATTTATTTCCCGAATTCGATCAGATTTTTCTAGGCCTGCTGCCAGGCTTTCATGCTAAGACTCCCACTTGCCATTATTCTAGGAATTTGCTTTGTTTTTGTTCTATTCTAGATTCTATATTTCCTGGAGTTAATAGATTCTTATTTTTTAAGTCAACCTTATTGAAGGATAATTTATGTACCATAAGATATACCATTTTAAGTATGCAGTTATACGACTTTGACAAATGTGAGCACCTTTGTCCTTCTTTTTTCTTTTTAAACTCATGGTTCTGTTTTTTTATGTAAGGAAACACCCCTAAATTAAATGAGATATTAAATTTAAGTACCTGAAAACAAAAAATTATTTTTTCTCACATTTCATCAACTGATAAATATATAATCTTGTTTCATATGTGTTACAGTTTAAAAACATTTAATATATGTTGTTGATTCATTAACATCGAAGTCACTGCCAAAAGCACTATAACTTGACCGAATGAAGCATATCTAGCACAAGTATTTTCTCCCTAAGGCACATCACAGACTTCTCTTGCTTGGGAATACTTTATAGCAGTCGGTACAAAGCTTCAGTGCCATTTTAAACAGCACAATTACCAACAAAAAGTGCAAAAATGAGAAAAAACATGAGTAAATAGAACATGAAAAGGACATTTGTTTACAGTAGGAGAGCTGTAAGAAGTCGGAATATCGCCTTGTTCAATCCAGCTGGAAACATGCACATTTATTAGGCAACTCACATTTCTCTCTACTTTGTGCATTTCTATGAAAGACAAGAAAGCACAGCGAGTATTGGTTTGAAGTTGTAAATTAATTTTAGTGACTAGGCAAGTTTGCAAGTATGGAATTCATGAATAACAACAATAGAGTGTGTGTGTATATACACATATAGAATTCTTTAAAAGATTTGTATTCTTTGCTCTAATATTTTGAGATTTGAAGAGTCTATAACTTAGTATAAATCTTTTTTTAGGGTCCAATTATTCAAAATAACTCAGTGTTTTTTCTTTGGTTTTGTTTTGTAAAATTTTCTTGGTAATTTCCTCCTTTGCATTTCTCATTATCATTCTTAAACACTTACTAATAATCAATAAGTCCTCCTGTATTGATATTCTGATTATCTTTTCATTTCTTTCAGATTTCTCATTTTTTAGTTCTTTTCTCCTAATTTCCAGTAGAAGTATCAACTTTCTTTCCTAAAATACCAGTGGAAAATTTTATTTTACTACTTTTCTATTTCCAAAAGCTTTTTATTTTCTAGTTTTTAAAATGTTATAGCATCTTATTTCTATTTTATTGATGAGTATTGGACTTTATTTAGATGAGGATATACATTATAATTTCACTCAATATTTTGTTTGTGTTTTCTGCAATTGATTTTTGTGGGGTTTTTTGTTACTTTACTTTTGTCTCTTTTTTATAGAAGTTTTCTGTAACTTATGCATCAGGTGACTGATGATGACCTGTTGTTACATTTACAATGTAAAAATTAGTCATCAAAAGGTGTGCATGGTAGGAGTCTGTAGGCTGGTAGACCTTACCAGGGAGTAAGTGTGTGGAGATTTCATTGTTTCCTTAAGGGACTTCCAAATATCTGCCTTGATAGGCCTGTTATCTTGGGCTAATAAATTTCTCAGAGAGGAAAATTTTAGACTCCCCTTTTTCTATATAAGGTGGATGGAATTGAGAAGGGGTTAAAAAAGTTAACAGTAAGAGCATTTTTAAATTTGAATAGACTCCATCTCAAATATCAAATATTCATTTTTGAAATTGTTGATATATTTATTTTACTTGACAGATAAAATTATATATTTATCATGTACAACATATTTTAAAATATGTACATTTTGAAATGAATACATTGAGTTAATTAACATATGCATTGTCTCCCGCATTTTTAAATTTTTTGTGACGAGAACAATAAAAACCTACTCTTTAAGCAATTTTCATGAGTTCCATTGATTGGTATTAACTGTAGTCACCCTGTTGTGCAACAGAACCCATGAACTTATTTGTCCTATCTAAGTAAAATTTTGTATCCTTTGATCAATGTCTTCTCAAACTCATCCCATCACTCCCTCCCCAAGTCCCTGGAAACCATATCCCACTCTGCTTCTATTTGTTTGACTTTTTTGGATTCCACATATGAATGAGATCATGCAGTATTTCTCTTTCTTGCCTGGATTATTTCACTTAACATAATGTCATCGATTCAAACATGTTGTCACAAATGACAGAATTTCCTTTTTTTTAAGGCCTAAATATAGCATTTCATTGTGTATGTATACCACATTTTCTTTATGCATTCATCCATTGATGGACACTTAGATTGATTCTAAATCTTGGCTATTTTGCTATTGTGAATAATGCTGAAATAAACATGGGAGAGCAGATATCTCTTTGAGATGTTGTTTTCATTTCCTTTAGATATATATCCAGTAGTAGGATTGCTGGATCATATGGTAGTTCTATTTTTAACTTTTTGAGAAACCTCCACATTGTATTCCATGATGGCTATACTAATTTACAGTCTCAACAACGCTCTACAAGGAGGCACTTTTCTCCAAATCCTTGCCAACACTTATTATCTTCCATCTTTTTGATAATAGCCATTTTAACAGTTGTGAGATGATACCTCATTGTGGTTTTAATTTGCATTTCTCTGATAATTAGTGATGTTGAATTTTTTTTATATGCCCGTTGGCCATTGGTATTTCTTATTTTGAAAAATGTCTGTTCTCATTCTTTGTCCAGTTTTTTTTTTTAATCTCATATCACTTTTTTTCTTTTTTTTTTTAATTATTATACTTCAAGTTTTAGGGTACATGTGCACAATGTGCAGGTTAGTTACATATGTATACCTGTGACATGCTGGTGCACTGCACCCACTAACTCGTCATCTAGCATTAGGTATATCTCCCAATGCTATCCCTCCCCCCTCCCCCCACCCACAGCAGTCCCCAGAGTGTGATGTTCCCCTTCCTGTGTCCATGTGTTCTCATTGTTCAATTCCCACCTATGAGTGAGAATATGCGGTGTTTGGTTTTTTGTTCTTGCGATAGTTTACTGAGAATGATGATTTCCAATTTCATCCATGTCCCTACAAAGGACATGAACTCATCATTTTTTATGGCCGCATAGTATTCCATGGTGTATATGTACCACATTTTCTTAATCCAGTCTATCATTGTTGGACATTTGGCTTGGTTCCAAGTCTTTGTTATTGTGAATAGTGCCACAATAAACATACATGTGCATGTGTCTTTATAGCAGCATGATTTATAGTCCTTTGGGTACATACCCAGTAATGGGATGGCTGGGTCAAATGGTATTTCTAGTTCTAGATCCCTGAGGAATCGCCACACTGACTTCCACAATGGTTGAACTAGTTTACAGTCCCACCAACAGTGTAAAAGTGTTCCTATTTCTCCACATCCTCTCCAGCACCTGTTGTTTCCTGACTTTTTAATGATTGCCATTCTAACTGGTGTGAGATGATATCTCATTGTGGTTTTGATTTGCATTTCTCTGATGGCCACTGATGGTGAGCATTTTTTCATGTGTTTTTTGGCTGCATAAATGTCTTCTTTTGAAAAGTGTCTGTTCATGTCCTTTGCCTACTTTTTGATGGGGTTGTTTGTTTTTTTCTTGTAAATTTGTTTGAGATCATTGTAGATTCTGGATATTAACCCTTTGTCAGATGAGTAGGTTGCGAAAATTTTCTCCCATTTTGTAGGTTGCCTGTTCACTCCGATGGTAGTTTCTTTTGCTGTGCAGAAGCTCTTTAGTTTAATTAGATCCCATTTGTCAATTTTGGCTTTTGTTGCCACTGCTTTTGGTGTTTTAGACATGAAGTCCTTGCCCATGCCTATGTCCTGAATGGTAATGCCTAGGTTTTCTTCTAGGGTTTTTATGGTTTTAGGTCTAATGTTTAAGTCTTTAATCCATCTTGAATTGATTTTTGTATAAGGTGTAAGGAAGGGATCCAGTTTCAGCTTTCTACATATGGCTAGCCAATTTTCCCAGCACCATTTATTAAATAGGAAATCCTTTCCCCATTGCTTGTTTTTCTCAAATTTGTCAAAGATCGGACAGTTGTAGATATGTGGCATTATTTCTGAGGGCTCTATTCTGTTCCATTGATCTATATCTCTGTTTTGGTACCAGTACCATGCTGTTTTGGTTACCGTAGCCTTGTAGTATAGTTTGAAGTCAGGTAGTGTGATGCCTCCAGCTTTGTTCTTTTGGCTTAGGATTGACTTGGCAATGCGGGCTCTTTTTTGGTTCCATATGAACTTTAAAGTAGTTTTTTCCAATTCTGTGAAGAAAGTCATTGGTAGCTTGATGGGGATGGCATTGAATCTATAAATTACCTTGGGCAGTATGGCCATTTTCACAATATTGATTCTTCCTACCCATGAGCATGGAATGTTTTTCCATTTCTTTGTATCCTCTTTTATTTCATTGAGCAGTGGTTTGTAGTTCTCCTTGAAGAGGTCCTTCACGTCCCTTGTAAGGTGGATTCCTAGGTATTTTATTCTCTTTGAAGCAATTGTGAATGGGAGTTCACTCATGATTTGGCTCTCTGTTTGTCTGTTGTTGGTGTATAAGAATGCTTGTGATTTTTGTACATTGATTTTGTATCCTGAGAATTTGCTGAAGTTGCTTATCGACTTAAGGAGATTTTGGGCTGAGACAATGGGGTTTTCCAGATATACAATCATGTCGTCTGCAAACAGGGACAATTTGACTTCCTCTTTTACTAATTGAATACCCTTTATTTCCTTCTCCTGCCTAATTGCCCTGGACAGAACTTCCAACACTATGTTGAATAGGAGTGATGAGAGAGGGCATCCCTGTCTTGTGCCAGTTTTCAAGGGGAATGCTTCCAGTTTTTGCCCATTCAGTATGATATTGGCTGTGGGTTTGTCATAGATAGCTCTTATTATTTTGAGATACGTCCCATCAATACCTAATTTATTGAGAGTTTTTAGCATGAAGAGTTGTTGAATTTTGTCAAAGGCCTTTTCTGCATCTATTGAGATAATCATGTGGTTTTTGTCATTGGTTCTGTTTATATGCTGGATTACATTTATTGATTTGCATATATTAAACCAGCCTTGCATCCCAGGAATGAAGCCCACTTGATCATGGTGGATAAGCTGTTTGATGTGCTGCTGGATTCGGTTTGCCAGTATTTTACTGAGGATTTTTTCAACAATGTTCATCAAGGATATTGGTCTAAAATTCTCTTTTTTGGTTGTGTCTCTGCCTGGCTTTGGTATCAGGATGATGCTGGCCTCACAAAATGAGTTAGGGAGGATTCCCTCTTTTTCTATTGATTGGAATAGTTTCAGAAGGAATGGTACCAGTTCCTCCTTGTACCTCTGGTAGAATTCGGCTGTGAATCCATCTGGTCCTGGACTCTTTTTGGTTGGTAAGCTATGGATTATTGCCACAATTTCAGCTCCTGTTATTGGTCTATTCAGAGATTCAACTTCTTCTTGGTTTAGTCTTGGGAGAGTGTATGTGTCGAGGAATTTATCCATTTCTTCTAGATTTTCTAGTTTATTTGCACAGAGGTGTTTGTGGTATTCTCTGATGGTAGTTTGTATTTCTGTGGGATCAGTGGTGATATCCCCTTTATCTTTTTTTATTGCGTTTATTTGATTCTTCTCTCTTTTTTTCTTTATTAGTCTTGTTAGTGGTCTATCAATTTTGTTGATCCTTGCAAAAAACCAGATCCTGTATTCATTAATTTTTTGAAGGGTTTTTTGTGTCTCTATTTCCTCCAGTTCTGCTCTGATTTTAGTTATTTCTTGCCTTCTGCTAGCTTTTGAATGTGTTTGCTCTTGCTTTCCTAGTTCTTTTAATTGTGATGTTAGGGTGTCAATTCTGGATCTTTCCTGCTTTCTCTTGTGGGCATTTAGTGCTATAAATTTCCCTCTACACACTGCTTTGAATGTGTCCCAGAGATTCTGGTATGTTGTGTCTTTGTTCTCGTTGGTTTCAAAGAACATCTTTATTTCTGCCTTCATTTCGTTATGTACCCAGTAGTCATTCAGGAGCAGGTTGTTCAGTTTCCATGTAGTTGAGCAGTTTTGAGTGAGTTTCTTAATCCTGAGTTCTAGTTTGATTGCACTGTGGTCTGAGAGATAGTTTGTTATAATTTCTGTTCTTTTACATTTGCTGAGGAGAGCTTTACTTCCAAGTATGTGGTCAATTTTGGAATAGGTGTGGTGTGTTGCTGAAAAAAATGTACATTCTGTTGATTTGGGGTGGAGAGTTCTGTAGATGTCTATTAGGTCCGCTTGGTGCAGAGCTGAGTTCAATTCCTGGGTATCCTTGTTGACTTTCTGTCTCGTTGATCTGTCTAATGTTGAAAGTGGGGTGTTAAGGTCTCCCATTATTAATGTGTGGGGGTCTAAGTCTCTCTGTAGGTCACTCAGGACTTGCTTTATGAATCTGGGTGCTCCTGTATTGGGTGCATATATATTTAGGATAGTTAGCTCTTCTTGTTGAATTGATCCCTTTACCATTATGTAATGGTCTTCTTTGTCTCTTTTGATTTTTGTTGGTTTAAAGTCTGTTTTATCAGAGACTAGGATTGCAACCCCTGCCTTTTTTTGTTTTCCATTTGCTTGGTAGATCTTCCTCCATCCTTTTATTTTGAGCCTATGTGTGTCTCTGCATGTGAGATGGGTTTCCTGAATACAACACACTGATGGGTCTTGACTCTTTATCCAATTTGCCAGTCTGTGTCTTTTAATTGGAGCATTTAGTCCATTTACATTTAAAGTTAATATTGTTATGTGTGAATTTGAACCTGTCATTATGACGTTAGCTGGTTATTTTGCTCATTAGTTGATGCAGTTTCTTCCTAGTCTCAATGGTCTTTACATTTTGGCATGATTTTGCAGTGGCTGGTATCGGTTTTTCCTTTCCATGTTTAGTGCTTCCTTCAGGAGCTCTTTTAGGGCAGGCCTGGTGGTGAGAAAATCTCTCAGCATTTGCTTGTCTGTAAAGTATTTTATTTCTCCTTCACTTATGAAGCTTAGTTTGGCTGGATATGAAATTCTGGGTTGAAAATTCTTTTCTTTAAGAATGTTGAATATTGGCCCCCACTCTCTTCTGGCTTGTAGAGTTTCTGCTGAGAGAGCCGCTGTTAGTCTGATGGGCTTCCCTTTGTGGGTAACCCGACCTTTCTCTCTGGCTGCCCTTAACATTTTTTCCTTCATTTCAACTTTGGTGAATCTGACAATTATGTGTCTTGGAGTTGCTCTTCTCGAGGAGTATCTTTGTGGCGTTCTCTGTATTTCCTGAATCTGAATGTTGGCCTGCCTTGCTAGATTGGGGAAGTTCTCCTGGATAATATCCTGCAGAGTGTTTTCCAACTTGGTTCCATTCTCCCCGTCACTTTCAGGTACACCAATCAGACGTAGATTTGGTCTTTTCACATAGTCCCATATTTCTTGGAGGTTTGTTCGTTTCTTTTTATTCTTTTTTCTCTAAACTTTCCTTCTCACTTCATTTCATTCATTTCATCTTCCATCGCTGATACCCTTTCTTCCAGTTGATCTCATCGGCTCCTGAGGCTTCTGCATTCTTCACGTAGTTCTCGAGCCTTGGCTTTCAGCTCCATCAGCTCCTTTAAGCACTTCTCTGTATTGGTTATTCTAGTTATACATTCGTCTAAATTTTTTTCAAAGTTTTTAACTTCTTTGCCTTTGGTTTGAATTTCCTCCTGTAGCTCGTAGTTTGGTCGTCTGAAGCCTTCTTCTCTCAACTCGTCAAAGTCATTCTCCGTCCAGCTTTGTTCCATTGCTGGTGAAGAACTGCGATCCTTTGGAGGAGGAGAGCTGCTCTGCTTTTTAGAGTTTCCAGTTTTTCTGTTCTGTTTTTTCCCTATCTTTGTGGTTTTATCTACTTTTGGTCTTTGATGATGGTGATGTACAGATGGGTTTTTGGTGTGGATGTCCTTTCTGTTTGTTAGTTTTCCTTCTAACAGACAGGACCCTCAGCTGCAGGTCTGCTGGAGTTTGCTAGAGGTCCACTCCAGACCCTGTTTGCCTGGGTATCAGCAGCAGTGTCTGCAAAACAGTGGTTTTTCATGAACCATGAATGCTGCTGTCTGATTGTTCCTCTGGAAGTTTTGTCTCAGAGGAGTACCCGGCCGAGTGAGGTGTCAGTCTGCCCCTGCTGGGGGGTGCCTCCCAGTTAGGCTGCTCAGGGGTCAGGGGTCAGGGACCCACTTGAGGAGGCAGTCTGCCATTTCTCAGATCTCCAGCTGCATACTGGGAGAACCATTGCTCTCTTCAAAGCTGTCAGACAGGGACATTTAAGTCTGCAGAGGTTACTGCTGTCTTTTTGTTTGTCTGTGTCCTGCCCCCAGAGGTGGAGCCTACAGAGGCAGGCAGGCCTCTTTGAGGTGTGGTGGGCTCCACCCAGTTGGAGCTTCCCGGCTGCTTTGTTTACCTAAGCAAGCCTGGGCAATGGCGGGCGTCCCTCCCCCAGCCTCTCTGCCACCTTGCAGTTTGATCTCAGACTGCTGTGCTAGCAATCAGTGAGACTCCGTGTGTGTAGGACCCTCTGAGCCAGGTGCAGGATATAATCTCCAGGTGTGCCGTTTTTTAAGCCCGTCGGAAAAGCACAGTATTCAGGTGGGAGTGACCCGATTTTCCAGGTGCCGTCTATCACCCCTTTCTTTGACTAGGAAAGGGAACTCCCTGACCCCTTGCACTTCCCGAGTGAGGCAATGCCTCCCCCTGCTTCGGCTCGCACTTGGTGCGCTGCACCCACTGACCTGTGCCCACTGTCTGGCACTCCCTAGTGAGATGAACCCGGTACCTCAGATGGAAATGCAGAAAGCACCCATCTTCTGCGTCGCTCACGCTGGGAGCTGTAGACCTGAGCTGTTCCTATTCGGCCATTTAAAGTGGTAATTAGTTTTCTTGCTAGTAATTTGTATGAGTTCCTTATATATTTTGGATATTAATCCTTATCAGATGTACGTATGCTATGCAAATATTTGCTCCCATTCTCTAGCTGTCTTTTTACTGTTGATTGTTTCCTTGGCTGTGCAAAAGTTTTTATTTTGATGTAGTCCAATTTTATTTCTGCTTTTGTTGCCCATGCTTTTGAAGTCTTGTCGAAAAAAATTTATATTTAGGCCAAAGACATAGAGATTTACCTTCTAGCAGTTTCACAGTTTCCTTCTAGTAGTTTTACAGTTTGGGATCTTATGTTTAACTCCTTAATCCATTTTGAATTAATTTTCATATATGATATTAGCTAATGGTATAATTTAATTCTTCTGCATGTGGATATCCACTTGTTCAGTTGTGTCATTTATTGAAGTGCCTATACTTTCCCCTTTGTCAGAAGTCAATTGACCACTGGCTGGGTTAACTTCTTTCTGAGCTCTCTATTCTTTTCCATTGGTCAACATATCTCTTTTTATGCCAATACCATGCTGTTTTGATCACTATAGCTTTGTAGTACACTTTGATTGCTGTTCTTTTTGCTCAAGATTTCTTTAGCTATTTGGGGTCTTTTGTGATTGCAAAAAAGTTTTAGGAATTTTTTCTATTTCTGTGAAAAATATTATTAGAATTTTGATAAGGATTGCATTAAATCTGTAGATTGCTTTGGGTGGTATTGACATTTTAGCAATATTAATTATTATGATCCATATACATGAGATATTGTTCCATTTATTTGTGTCTTCTATTTCACCCAATGTTTTAGAATTTTCAGTGTACAGGTATTTCACCTCCTTTGTTAAATTTATTTTTAATTATTTTTTGTAGCTATTTCTAATGGAATTGTTTTCTTGATTTCTTCTTAAGATAATTCATTGTTAATGTGTAGAAATGTAACTGATTTTTGTATATTGATTTTATATCCTGCTATTTTACTGAATTTATGTATTAGTTCTAGCAGATTTTTGGTGGACTCTTTAGTGTGTTCCATATTTAAAATCCTGTTGTCTGCAAACAGAGAATTTAATTTTTTTTTCCTTTCCAATGATGATGCTTTTTATTTCTTTCTCTTACCTAATTGTTCTGGCTAAAATAAAAGTGGAGAGAGTGGACATCCTTATCTTTCCTGATCTTAGTCATAAAGGTTTTAACCCTTTACTGTTGAGTATGATTTTAGTTACGGGCTTATCATATATGTTATTCATTGTGTTGAGGTACATTTTTTATATAGAATTTGTTGAGACTTTTTATCTTGAAAGGTTGTTAAATTCTGTCAAATGCTTTTTCTGGATATATTAAAATTATCATGTTTTTTGTTCTTCATTCTGTTAATGTAGTATCACATTTATAGATTTGCATAGGTCAAATCATTCCTATATCTCTGGCGTAAATCTCACTTGATCATGTTGAATAATTCATTCAATGTGTTGTTGAATTCAGTTTGCTAATATTTTATTGAAGATTTTTGTATCTATATTCATCAAGAATATTAGCCTATAATTTTTTTCTTATGCTGTCTTTGTCTGTTTTTGGTATCAGAGAAAATTTGTCCTTGTAAATGAGTTTGGAAGTATTTTCTTTAATTTTTTTGAAGAGTTTGAGATGGATTAGTATTAGTTCTTCAAATAGTTGGTAGAATTTGGCAATAAGGCCATTAGGTTTGGGGTTTTATTTGATAGGAAATGAGTTATTAATATTTTAATCTCCTTACTCATTATTGATCTGTTCAGACTTTCTATTTCTTCATGATTCTATTTAGGTAGATTGTATATGTCTAGGAATTTATCCAATTTTTTCTAGGTTGTCCCAATTTGTTCATGTGCAATTTTTTATTGTAATCTCCTGACCTATTGTATTGCTGTGATATCAGTTGTAATGTCTCCTTTTTTACTGATATTATTTTTAAGTCTTCTCTGTTTTTAGTCTAGCTAAAATTTGTTGATGTTAATCTTTTCAAGAAACATCTCTTACTTTTATTGATCTTTTGTACTGTTTCTCATCTCTAGTTCATTTATTTCTTTTCTGTTCTTTATTATTTATTTCCCTCTGCTAACTTTGGGCTAAATTTGTTCTTGTTTATCTAGTTTCTTGATGTACAAATTTAGGTTGTTTATTTGGGAGCTTTCTTATTTAAGACTCACTTTCTTCTTTTTTGAGATTCACTTGACCTGTAAAGACAAACACAGACTTAAAGTGAAGGAATGAAAAAGGGTAGTTCATGCAAATGAATACCGAAAGAGAGCAGGGTAGCTATATTCATTTTCGATAAAATAGACCTTACATTAAAAACTGTAAAATGAGTCAAAGAAAGACATTTTATAATGAAAAAAAGGAGTCCATTGATCAAGAGACTATAATAATTTTAAATATATATGCACCCAATACCAAAGCACCTAAATATGTAAAGCAAATATTAATAAATCTAAAAGGAGAGAAAGATGGTAATATAATTATATTACAGGACTTCAATACTTCACTTTCAGCAATGTAAAGATCATCCAGACAAAAAATTAATAAAGAAACATTTAGACCAAGTGAACCTAACAGACATGTATACAACATTCTATCCAACAAGAAACAGAATACACATTCTTTTAAAGTGCCCAAGGAACATTCTCCAGGATAGATGATATGTTAGACCACAAAACCAGTTTTAATAAATTTAGGAACATTGAAATCATATCAGTTATCTCACCAAAATGATATGAAACTATATAACAGGAGGAATTTTAGAAAATTCACACATATATGGAAATTAAACATGCTCCTGAACAGCTAAGGGGCTAATGGAGAAAGTGAAAGAGAAATTTAAAAACATCTTGAAATAAACCAAAATGGAGACAGGGCATACTGCAACCGGGGATGCAGCGAAACAGTCCTAAGAGGAAAGTTTAGAATCTCGATTGAGATCTATGGGCCTGATTGCCAATGTTGTGGGAATTTTGCAGGAGAAAAGAACTAGGTCACACTGTTTTTCATGAGATTATTACTTAATCCTTTTTGCCTTCAGGTGTGCTTAAAGTGCCAAAATTTAGAAATTGTCAAATTCGGCCGGGTGCGGTGGCTCACGCCTGTAATCCTAACACTTTGGGAGGCCGAGGCAGCCGGATTGCCTGAGCTCAGGAGTTTGAGACCAGCCTGGGCAACATGGTGAAACCCCGTCTCTACTAAAATACAAAAAATTAGCCTGCAGTGGCAGCGTGTGCTTGTAGTCTCAGCTACTTGGGAGGCTGAGGCAGGAAGAATTGCTTGAACCCGGGAGGCGGAGGTTGCAGTGAACCAAGATCGCGTCACTGCACTCCAGCCTGGGCGCCAGAGCGAGACTCCGACTCCAAAAAATAAATAAATAAATAAATAAAAATAAAAATAAATAAATAAAAGAAATTGTCGAATTCAACATCTTCAAACATAAATCCAACCTTCTGCAGGGGAAAGGGAGCAGAAGATTTTGGATTACTGTGATGGCAGGTAAAGCTTATGGCTGTCTATCTTTTGGTATTGTAGAGTATCATTTATTTATCCTATTTTGGGCTCTAAAATTGAAGAACGCTTGGTCAGAGAACAGGCTCAGCTGTCATCAGACCCAAGCCAAATATGGATTCTACGAGCCTGGAACTGATTGCTCCCAGCATCCCCTGCCAGACCAGCTGCCCCAGCCCTTCGATTTGCTTCTGGGACCCCAGCTTTCCTAAGCCCAGAAATTTTTTCTCTGAGAAAAATGAAAAGTTTGAACTTAATAAAAGTTTGAAAATTGAGCTTCTTTCAGTTTTAACACTGTCAAAGACTCATGAATGATGCCTCAGAGAGGCTACCAAGTTATTCAGTGGAAGTTTTCCTCCCTGTTATGTGGGATGACTTGTTGAAATACCACCACCAAAACAAAAACAAAAACAAAAAAACATAAACACAGAGATTTGTCTTAAAATAAAACATTTATTCTGGCCAAAAGAAATCCTGAGGTCCTGAGACATTAGGGAATTCTGCCATTATTAATTGTTTTGATTCTGAATGGCTACTTGCAATGCCAATACTTAGGCTCCAACTTCCTGCTCAACTAAATCAGATGCCATTTACTAATCTTTTTTCCATATTTCCTGCTTAATATTCCTTTGAACTGTTATTCCTTCCCCAGTTTGTTTCATCTTTGTGGGTTTAGATATTATTATTAATCTAGTATAATTTTACAAAGGTATACAACAGAGTTTACTTTTGCTTTTAGTCAGAATGAATGAATAGCTACCTGACTTTTCCCCACTGGAAATACCAAAATAACAGATAAAATACTAAAACAATTGTTTAGAAGACATTGGTCATAAATCAATGGACAGTGACCTCTGAGAGAGGTAAAACAAGAAAGCGGAGCCCTGCGATTGCCCCAGCTTATTGCCTTGAGAGAGTTTCGAAGCTGGAGTAAAGGGAGGAAGGAGAAAGATAAGTTTTGTCATCAGACTCGGAGCTGAGAAATCCCTGGAGACGAAGGTTGCTAAAGTAATGAAGACAGAGTACCGAGAGGAAAGAGTTGCACAGAGAGAGAGAACTCTAGAGATCTGGCAAGAAGTCCTTTCCAGTATTCACCCGAGCATAGGTCAAACTCACACACAACAAAAAAACTACCTAAAGTTGAGAAAAGAACCACCTCAAAAGATTAGAGGAAACAGTGCTTGACATTCACAAAGAGCTAAAGAAAGAACCTGTCGGCACCCTCTAGATTGGGAAAAATAAGTTTATGACCCATTGAGCAGGGTACACAAAATGGTCTTAATCTCAGTGTGATATAAAAGTTGGCCCTAGACTGAGCACTGTGATGAGTACTGCTATATTGTGGTTTTAGTAAATCCTAAAAACAAGACCTGAAGGAATCAAACTATTTCCAAGTAACTTAACTACATACAATGAAAAAGTTCGAGAGTTATACAATAATATCAAAATATTGAGGATGTGACAAGCTAAAATTCCTAATATATATCTGTCAATACATTGTTATCAGGCATGGAATGAGGCAGGAATATATGATCTATAATGAGGAGAAAAGCCTTTCAAAACTGACCTAGAACTGACATAGATGTTAGAATTAGCAGATTGACATTAAACTGTATGTTTCATATGTTCAAAAATTCAAATACATATAATATTCTTTAAAGAGAGAGCACACAGATCAAACTTAGAGATTTAAAACTATAATACTCAAGAGGAAAATAACATTAGAATAAATGGCAGATTAAACATTGCAGAGTAGTTAAAGACATAGCAATATCCACAATGAAACAGAGAGATAATTTTACAAAATGAATAGAGAGTCAGTAACTGTGGGATGACTTCAAAGGCTTTGAAATTTGTGCAGTTGGAGACTCCAAAGAAGAGTAGAAAGGAACAGAAAAAATTTGAAAAAGTAATGCCTACAAGTGCTTCAAATTTGATGAAAACTAGAAAGCCACAGATTCAGGAATCTCAAGTAACCTCAAAAAGAAGAAACATAAAGAAAACTTTACCATGGCACATCATAATCAAATTGTTCAAAATCAGTGATAAAGAAAACATCTGAAAACCCAGAAGAGGAAAATCTATGTTATAAACAGAGGAACAAAATAAAGATGTCAGCAAATTTTTCACTCACAACAATATAAGTGGAAAGACAGAGAAGTAGCAAGTGTAGAGTATTGAAGACAAAACAAAACAGTCAACATGGAATTCTATACCTGGGGAAAATTTTTTTTAAATGAAGGCACAAAAAAGGATGAAATGATTTTACTACACAACAGGAAATAAAGGAAGTTTTTTTTCACAGAAGTAAAATGATACCAAACGAAAATATGAATCTATACGAAAATTAAAAACACATAAAGTGCTAACTCAATGGTTTAATTCATGTCACTTATATCTCAAAACTGTGTTTAAAATTGCAATGAGATGCTATTTAATTTATTATAATGAGTAACATTTTAAAAAATCAGACAATATTAAAAAAAAGTCAAGTACAGTGGCATACTTCTGTAGTCCCAGCTGCTCAGGAAGGCCAAGATATCAAGGCTGTAGTGCATTTCCATTGTACATGTGAATAGCCACTGCACTCTATCCTGGGCAACATAGGGAGATCTCCGTGGCTAAAAATAAAAATAAATCAGACAATATCTAGTTCTGGAGAAGATTTGGAGCAATCAGAACCCTCATACACTGCTGGTTGGAATACTCGCTAGTTTAGCCACTTTGGAAAACAGTTTGGCAAATTCTTATAAAGCTAAACATATACCTGCTATATATTCCAGCAAAAAAGTATGGAAATGAAGGTAATGTAAATTTATATTAACCCAAAACCTTATACACAAATGTTTTAATAGCTTTATTTTAATCATCAAAAGCTAGATAAAACCCAAATGTTCAACTAGTGAATGGATGAATTGGATTACTACCCAGCAGTAAAAGGAAAAAATACTGATATGTATACTAACATGGATAAATTACGAATGCATTCAGCAAAATGAAAGAGGCCAAGCTAAGAAGTTTACATATTTCATGCTTCTATTTTTTGCACTATCTTGGAAGAGGAAACACTATAATAGAAAACAGATCAATGGTTAGGAGAAAATGACTCAAAGGTTCATGTTTGACAGTGATGGAACTGTTCTGTATCTTGATTGTAGTGATGGCTACATAACTGTATGTATTTTTCAAAACTCATAAACTCTAATTCAAATTATACTGTGTGTATATTTTAAGTGTAAATTAAACATGCAATTTAAAATATTTTTAACCAGAAATAAACATTGTGTGGTCCCGTCAAACAATTGACCTCATCTTTGTTATCATATGGAAAAGCCCTATGGTAACTATGTATAAAGTACAATGGAATTAAATATAAACTAGGCAGCAAGATAGACTAAGAGACTGTAAATTGTACACAGTTGGAGCAATCAGATGTGAAATGTCAAAAATCTGAATACACTGAATAATCATTTTAATAGAGAGGAAAGGGAAAAATCTAAGCAACAACTTCTTTAAAAAGTTATTTTGTATCTAGTAGAAATAAAGTGAGAAACACAATAAATAGCATACCTAAGTTCAAAGTTTGCACCACTTTCATTCCCCCCTCACCACTACCACACACACAAAAAATAGGAAAAAAGGCACAGGTGAAAAACGGATGAGTTATTTAACACCAACTAATACCTCTAAGATAAAATAGAAAGAAAACCTACTTTTCTTGCATAGTGTATATCACAAAAGTGTGATATAATTTCTTTCCCAGTACCCAGAAACTATATTACTTTCTCATATCCTAGGAAATTACTAGGCAAGGTAGCCTGAATTACCCAAACAATTTTCACATAGATACAAGGAGAAAGATTGTTAAGCCCAATTTATTGCCAAGGGTGGAACGGGCTACTTCAAGAGAGGCATGTGATGAAAACTTAGCTTGGATTCAGAAGAATGAACAAAGAAGTGGGTAAATGTTTGTTTTTTTCTTTTTCTTCATTGGTTTTGTATAAATGTGACAGCCATTGTAGTAGAGAATTAATGAAGGACTGTGTTTCTGGTCCATACAAGAAGATTAATATTAAGAAAGTCATTAAATACCACCCAAAATATGAAAATTTAATTTATTTTAATTTCCTTCAATTTTATATTGTTTCATTAGGAAAGGAACCTCATATTAACCACACAAAGGTGAGGAGTCATGATATTTGTTATTGAATAACTGCTCCAAAGAGCAAAAGATTTTATACTCATTTTCTTGCTTTCCCCATAGTTCTATCAAAGAATGTCCATGGAAAGTTATCATAACCTGAAAAGCTGATAGCTTTACCAAGTGATTATTATTTACTTTGCTTTTCTGATGACTTTTGATTTGTCAGGTAATTGTTTTAGTATATGATTATTATATCTTTACATCTTTAAAGCCTAACCATCTGCAAATTTCAAATGTGTGAATGAAGACTGTGTAAGTTACAGCACAGGAGGAATGAACCAATTCAGAGTGGAAAATTGAACTCCCTCATCTCATATAAAGTGGGTGAAGAAAAAAAGTAGTGACAACATTTTGTTTAGCCACAGACTGTCAATGTTGGCACTTTTATTGTTGTAAGGAGGTCTCCATACAACAGAGTAGGTTAATGAAGATCAGAATGAATTCCAAAAAAAAAATTATGGAAAAATTATATATCTATATCTACCTATCTCAGATTAGGGAAGTACTTTGAAATTGTACCCTTTGCTGACAGATGGAAAAACTAAGTCCCGTTACAATGAACGGATTTGCTCAAGAACAGATAGCTTATCTGTAGAAAACTCAGCTCAAGCCACTTCCATAGAAACATATTGTCTTCTAAATCAGATAGTTTACCTTGGTATGTCTTACATGGTACTTAGAAGAATGGACCTTGGAGTCTGACTGCCTGGTTTTGAATTCCAACTTGACCACTTATGAGCTCTTGAGACCTTTACCTTATTGTCTCAATGTTCTTGTCTATAAAATGGGGATGACATTTAATCCTCTCTCATGAGTTTATTGGGGGGACCAAATGAGTTAATAACATCTGTAAAGCACTTTGCACAGGACTTGACATACAGTAAGTGTTCAATATATTTTAACAATTTTGTGACATTAATTCCTGCAAAAACAAACTGCAGACAAGCATGTGTTCTAACATTTGTTGTCTGAGGCTGAGTCATGATTACAACTTCATCCAAGATACATCATCATGTAACCTGTATAAAAGTGAATTTACTCCCTTCCTTAGTAAAACACAGAGATATAGGCAAGTAAGTTGTTTTCACACCGTAATAAGGAGGAGTTGTCATTTCTATATACTTTTTATTTTGATAGGAGAAATGATATTGATTGTGTAAAAAAAAGTGCCAGCTATTCGATCCACAAATTTTATTTTTTAAATTTTTTTTTTTCATTTTGGTCATTCTTGGAAGCATTTACAAAGTTCATTTCCCTATTGCTTCTTTTTGTTGTTGTTTTGTAGACAGTAAATGGGCCAGACTAAAGTTTCCAATGGCAACGTTTGCTCCTTTATCACACAACCAGGAACTTAGGACTAGCAGTGAAGCTCTATAAGCTGACTAATAGAGGGGAGAAGAGAAATCGAAAGGGTTAGAATGGTAGCATTCTGCCTTCATTTCACACTATGATTCTAAAGGAAGAATAGAACCACAAGAATCTCCCCTTAAACTTAGGGGTCAAACAGTTATGCCAATCACATCTGTTGTGTTCTGCAAAGCCAGGTTTTGTCTGTGTTCACAAGTGTAGATTTCCTTTATGCTAATCAGCTCATAGGCTCTAGCTGGCTGATTTTCTTTTCCTGACAATTACATTGTGATCAGTGGCATCTGTGTTACAGAGAACTGAAACTAGTATATGCCAAATATTAGGAAACTTATGTTATTATTTTTACTGAATATAAGCTCCTTAATGCAATTAATGACATGTTATTGTCGGTGTGATTGCTGTTGTTCTGGACAGCTCAATTACAAAACGATTAGAAGGTGCTTCAGGTGGGAAGTAATAATGTGATAATCAGGCTGTCACAAAGTTAGCTACTGCTGCTGGACATTGTAGAGTCTTCCATTGTCCTTCTAAATGATATGCATCATTTAAAGAGGGTTCAGAATTCAGTAGAACAAATTAGATAATACACACAATCCAGAAAAATCAACAAAAAAATGTTATGTAGTTCAGTGGGTAAGCAAGCCATGGTACTGCTAGGAAAATTGATTCTCAAAGCCAAAAGAGATCTTGTTGAAAAGGCCTGCAAGGAATATATAAATGTGGAGACTTCGTGTAACCTAATAGTCCTACAAAGAAAGCTGGATGGTAGTAAATTTTGTGCTTTGTTTTCCTGAAGAATGGTGATATGTGCAATTAAAATCACGCTTTGCCTCTGATATTAAATGACTAGCAGCAGAAGAATTAGTTACTGAAATTATTTTTGGAGAGAGTTTTTGAAAAATTAATTTTAAGTTTCTCATTTAGGTTAACTTTCCTTTTTGTTATTTTTTTATTCTAGCAGGAAAAAAGTTGATCCTGACAGTTTAAAAAATGTAGTGATATTCTAATGATTTTATCTAGACAGAACTGAGGATTCTACTTTTAATAAACAGAATATGAATTTCTTATGAAGTTTTATGATCTTCCTCTATATTTTGACAATAAAAAGTAAACAGTTTGTTTTAAATAGTGAATTACTAATTTCTCATGAATCTCTGGGGAATAATTTTTCTGCTGTCCTGTCGTCAATTCTCCTCCATTTTAAAATTGAGTTTCAATTGTCTAAGAGTTTCATATAGCTGAAAATTTCTGCCTTTGTTAGGAAAAGACATTGTCATTGGCAGGCAGAAATGCAGCTTCAGTAGGGTCCATGCTCACAAGAGAAGCCCAGATGAATGTGAGTTGTCTTCACTGGGGTCAGCACAACATGTGCTTTCTCATGTAATCATGCATCTGATTCCCTTGGCCTTGAGGATCATAGTAAATACAGTTGGAAAAAGAGTGGGTGGAATAATTTGACATTGGTTTTATTTGCACTGAATCCATTAGGGATTGTAAAATATTTGGCACTTTAAAATATATAATCAATAAGTTATATTGATTTTAAAAGATAATTTATATATAAGAAAAAAGTATATCAACACAAATCTACATTTTTTGGTCAAACTCTTTCAGTCCAAATTTTCCAGAAATATATACATATAAAAATACCCAGTATCAGATCTGTAGTGAAAAGTTTAGGACACTGAAATATAAACACTCAGCACTTCGTAGATTTGACAGTTGAGTTTGTGGAAGGCAAATAGCAGAAATCTATTTGGATATGCAGATGTGTAAGTATGGAGAAAAATGACTTTTTTTTTTTTTTTGCAAAATATCACCAATAAACTGGGAATAATTGTTCTGTGTAATATTGTTGTATGTGAATCACAGCTCTCTGACCATAATAGTACAGAAAGTCTGAACCAGAGTTTGTCAGATTGAGCGTCTATAAATCCTGGATCCCACAAATATATCCTCAGAGGTTTGTGAACTTTTAGTAATTTTAGAAATACTTTGATATTTTATGATATCAAAACATATGGTAAAAACTGCTAAGATGAATAACAATTTAGGATGAAAGTTGTTAAGGATATTAGTTAACATTTATTGGGAACTGAATATATGAAAAGCATTTTTAAGTATTGAGCACATACAGTATTAACTCTTCTAAAACTCATACACATTTATGAGATAGCTATTATTTATTTATTTATTTATTTATTTCAGACAGAGTTCCGCTCATGTTGCCCAGGCTGGAGTGCAGTGGCTCAATCTCGGCTCACTGCAACCTCTGCCTCCCAGGTTCAAGTGATTCTCCTGCTGAGGCCTCCCAAGTAGCTGGGATTACAGGCGCCCAGCACCACGCCTGGCTAATTTTTTGTATTTTTCACTACAGACGGGGTTTCACAATGTTGGCCAGGCTGGTATTGCACCTGTAATCTCAGTACTTTGGGAGGCCATGGCGGGTTTATCTCCTGAGATCAGGAGATAGCTATTATTCTTATCTCAGTTTTACAGGTGAGGAGACCAAGGTATAAAACATGTATGTATCTGGTTATTTGGAAAGTGTAATAAAGTCAGAACATTACAAAAAAATATTGTATATGTGTCCTTGGTTATTTAGTTCAAACACCTCATAATATTGCATTGAAATTTTAATATCCAAGTTTGCATTTTGGTTTGCATTAACATTGATGCCAAAACCTTCTACTTGAATTGGCTCATTAGTGGGAAAGCACTGAGAAAGATTTAATATATGATGTTTAGGTAAACTATGCTCTTGTGCCAGATAAATGCCACATAACTTTAAAATATTCTGTAGAGTATTTCACAGTAGTTTAGAAATGGCAAAGTAGTGAAAATTTTACATCACAACTAGACAGTAGTATAGGCATGTCAAATATAAGAGCCTGACTAGAACAGTCATGACTATATTCATTCTGTAAGCTGTAATTTAGTTTCAGCAAAACATCGTCAACCATAATATAGTATTAATTGAGTTTATTCTTGGGTTTATTTCATTTAATGTATAAGTTTGTTTGATTCATGTGTTTATAAGTAAAATATATTTATGCTGCCTTTTATATTTATATATGTTTAAGTAATTGTATATTTAAAATATTGTAAGACAACAATGGGATCTGATTGAATTGCTTCTGCTTTAAAATTCAGGTATGTGAAGCATGGATCGAAAATGCCCCATTTAATATTAATATTTTCTAATAATCATACATTTAACATCATTCCCCGATTGTTTCATGTATACTAAAAATTAAAAGTAGCCAGGTATAATGAGAAGATTTAAAAAGAATGATTGTAGAGTAGGAAACATTGGATTTTTATCACTCAATTGTCCACCTTCTACCTGTGTGACCTAAGGAAAGTTACCTAAACTTTATGGCTTTATTTCCTCATTTTCATTACAGGTCCATAATACTTACCTCACAAAGTTGTTTATGATAAAGATTCAATTACAAGATAATGCATGCGATGATGTAACATGCCTTAAGACAATGCCTCACTAAAGGCTCATAATACATATCTTTCCCATCAATTCCCTTCTTCTTTTCTTATTTTGATATTCATCCTCTGGGGAGCATAAACAACAGCTTTCATTCTGCTTTACTCACAAAATCTAGTGCAGAATAATTCTCATCAGTAGTGATAACCACACTCCCCACCAAGGATTCAAATATACTCTGTGTGTTGTCTTGAAGGGTTCACATCAATCCAAGGATGTCAGTCACATCCTGGAAAGCCATTGGTATATTAGTCAAAGTTGTCCAGAGAAGTAGATCCAATTTGTGTGTGTGTGTGTGTGTGTGTGTGTGTGTGTGTGTGTGTGAATCCTATATCCTATTGGTCACATAAACATGGAAAGAGTGAGATACAGTGAGAGAGATTGACAAGTTCTGAGATCTGCAGTCGGCAAGCTGGAGACTCAGGAGAGCCAGTGGTGGTGTTTAGTGCAAATGCTGGTAGGTTCAAATTCAGAAAAAAAACCCATGTTTTGGTTCAAGTCAAAAGGAAATAAACAATGTCCAAGCTTAAAGGAGTCAGATAGGAAGAGTTCCCTCTTGCATGAAAGAGAGTCAACCTTTCTGTCCTGTTCAGGCCTTCAACTGACTACATGAGGTCCACTCACATTAAGAAGGGCAATATAATTCACTCAGTCTATTAATTTAAATGTTAAACTCATCTATAAACACTCTCACAGACACATCCAGAATAATGTTTGACCAAATATCTGGGCACACCATAGCCTCATTAAGCTTACACATAAAATTAACCATCATGATGAGCCATCAGCCTTGAGATTTTAAAAATGTTGCCAGCCTTCCACTCAAGTCATCTGGCTCAATTCAGAAAGACAAGCATCTCTCCACTCATCAGAAACCTAAGTTTGCGTTAAACCATGACCGTGACACTTCTCAATAGTATACCAAGAGGCCTGGGAGCCTCCATTAAACAGTCAAGTGTCAAGGTGAATTCTTTTACAATCTGGTAGCCAGCTAGGTCTCCCACATTTAATATCCTGTTAATCCTACTTTTGGTTACAAATATAAGATTCTCTTACATTCTGTTTGTTCCTTCCCTTCCCCTCTTTTCTCTTTCTTACCCTGTCCCTTCCCTTGCCCTTATTTCTACCTTCTCTATCAACTTTCTACTATCTCCACTATGATCTTGCTCCATTTTTGCCTATTCTATTTCTTCCTCCCTGGCCACATCTTTTAAAAGTTTCAACCTCCTTTGTCCAGATGTTAGATGGAGATCAACATTGTCTTGGTTTTCTTTTTCTCTTTTTTTTTTTTTTTTTTTGAGATGGAGTCTTGCTCTGTCGCCAGGCTGGGGTGCAGTGGCACAATCTTGGCTTACTGCAATCTCCGCCTCCAGGGTTCAAGTGATTCTCCTGCCTCAGCCTCCCGAGTAGCTGGGACTACCGGTGTGCACCACCACCCCCAGCTAAGTTTCGTATTTTTAGTAGAGATGGGGTTTCACTGTGTTGACCAGGATGGTCTCAATCTCTTGACCTTGTGATCCGCCCACCTCGGCCTCCCAAAGTGCTGGGATTACAGGCATGAGCCACCGCACCTGGCCATCTTGGCTTTCTTATTATCCCAAAACTTCTACACAGTTTCTCTGATTGATTGATCTCACTATCATGTTTTTTTTTTTTTTTTATGTTCAATATCATGAAGTTTCTCTTGTGTCTCCAGCTCAGGTTTTTCTTCTGTAACTCACAACTATATATTCAATTTCTTAAAGAATTATCTCCAGTTTGATATATTGTGAGAATCTGAAATTTCACAGTTTATTCATATGCTTGACCTACAAACATATTCATTTCCCATGTTTTCTGGCTCAATGATTGGTGCTATTGTTCTCTCCTTTGTTGCTATCCATAAAGCAGGGAAGTTTGTGAGAATCCTCACTCTCTCACTGTACATAATAAATCACTGAGACCTCCAGGCTATATCTTCAATTTATCCACGGGAGAGAGCGTCTCTATATCACTCCCCTCATCCAGGTACTTTCATCTCTCACTGAGTTACAACAGCAGCCTCCTAACTAGGTCTCCCTGTCTTTAATCTTGTTTCTTTCCAATTCTTCCTTAGAAACAACAATTTTTTCTTGTTTAAAATTCTATAAAGGCTTCACATTACCCTCATTATAAAAGAAAAACTTCCTATAAAGACCTACCTTATTCAATGTTTGCTAATGTCCAGATATCTTTTATAAATAGGGATGAAAGTGATTTTTCTTTACTGACATTATAACCAGAAATTTTACTGGACTCATTATCAACTTATAATTTGTAGATTTTCTTTTTTCTTCCTTGAAGAAAATGACATGATTAAATGATAATGATTATTGTTTTCCCTCTTTTATTCTTTATATGCACTAATGAAGACCTCCAATATAATACCTCCAAAGGCATAATAAATATCTTTGCATATTTACTGACTTTAAGAGGAAGTGTTAACATCTCCCTTTGATATGATGTTTATTAAGGTTTATTAGAGATGTGTGATAGATTTTCTTTATTAAGTTAAGCAAACTCTTAACTTCTTAGCTAGCTAATAGATTTGAGTCTACTCCCTCTGAGTTATTTCTAAATGCTTGTTCCAGGGATTCAACATAAATATCCTTCTATCACAATCCAATTTCAAATAATGCTGTACTAATTCACATATAATATATGATCTTTAAAACAGTATAAGTCCTGTTTCTCTTCACGGTTTACTGATTTTAAGTTTGCTAATGCACCTACGGTGCAGCTGCTCTACCTATCTCAAGTGGAAATAAACAGAGATACTTATATGGTGGTATCAGGCCTCCCAAAGGGAAAGAATAGTGGTCGTACTGCTGAGATCACAGATATGCACAGATATCCTAGACTAATAGGCACAGTCAAGATTAAGCATCATCTTGAATTGTTATTGCTAGAGTTCCTAGATATTCAATAATGCTATTTGGGATAATGATTGTACAGCTTCAATGGAGTCACTAGGGTTGTTTTACAACATTTCTATCTGTCATAAAACCACGACAAGTCTTCAAACCACTAGAGAGGGCTATGCTGTGAATGAAATGATGTTGTGTGAATGAAATGATGTTGTAGGGCAAAGCTTTAGAAGAGGCCTCCTGGATTATTGGGGAAAGGGTCTTTACTACTCGCTACCTGTACCATCCAACAATGAGGAAACATCAGCTGGTGGACTGTAATGAGAAACAGAGAACAGCTTTATACAGAAAAAAAAGGGAAGTAAACTGGTGATAAATAAGCCAAAAGGAACAAAGTGCTACAGGACTTGAATCTTTTCTACTGAGGAGATGGGACAATGATGTGGTTTGGCTATGTCCCCACTCAAAATCTCATCTTGAATTGTAATCTCCATAATCCCTACAATCCCTATAATCCCCATGTGTCAAGAAAGAGACCAAGTGGAGGTAATCAAATCATGGGGGCAATTTCCCCCATGCTGTTCTTGTGGATGGTGAGTGAGTTCTCATGAGATCTAATGGTTTTATAAGTGTTCTGTAGTTCCTCCTTCTTTCATTCTCCTTCCTGCCACCTTGTGAAGAAGGTGTCTTATTTCCCCTTCACTCTGCACCATGATTGTAAGTTTCCTGAGGACTCCCAGCTATGCTGAGCTGTGAATCAATTAAAACTCTTTCCTTTATAAATTACCCAGTCTTTATAGCAGAATGAAAACAGACTAATATAGACTTTTAGCATAAATTCAATAAATTGCCCTCCTTGAGAAAAAAAAGTTAATGACTATGTCTCAGAGAATTACTTGCCTTCAGAATTTTTCCAATATAAATCTAGTTTTAAGGGGACCTTTGGAAAGTATTTGTTAGCCAGCTTTGTTCAATGCCTAGATAATACAAATAAATGTCCTGTAAATGCAAGCTGCAATGAAGGTGTACCCTAAGGAAAAATGGGGAAACACTTCCAGTTTTAGTCTTTTAAAAATATCAGGGTCAATTGGGCCAAAATAAGGAGGCCTCTGTTTTCACATAAAAAATAGTAGGCATATTTATTTATTTTGAAACTTGAACAAGTATCTAATAAACCAAATTTATAAATCAGATATTATTAAAAGTTGCCAGAAGAAAAGATGCTTCAGCAAACAGGTATCGGAATTCCAGTTTTGTGTTACTTTTCTTAGGCAGAATGCTTTGGGGATAAGGAGATAAAACAGAACAGAACAATGGTATGATTTTTATGCCATGACTAAGACGTCCCTTGCATTTGATGTCTTTTATTCTTTCATCATAATGAGAATACAGGCACATAATGAATTGTTATTGTTAGGTGAAAATCTCACTGAGCCTTAGCATCTTCTTCTGAACATAAGCACTGTGTCCAGGACTGTAGAAGGAATAAGTGTAGGAGATGTTGTCAAGATAAGAGTAAGGAAAGAGGATGTTGAATATAATAACTACCTGAAAGCTGTGTGGTATGTCTTCCTTGATCAACCCTCTGTCCTTCTAAATTAAATCCTTTGGAACATTTAAGCAATGATGTAGGGGAAAACCAAGTATGAATTAATACAACATTTGTATTATACACTTCCATTTCCATTTTCACCAAATGTGTGTGAGCTAATTCATGTTATAAAACACATGTTACAGAAGAATATATTTTACTCAATTTTATTATTTTAAAAAATAATATATTGTATTAAACTTAATTTCACAGAATTTTACCTGTGGCAGAATAGGCACAATGAGAGAAACAAGTAGCAGATATGTTCCTGAGTGATTGGCAATCACTAAGTGATGCCTTGGCCGCCACCTGTGCTGCTGCTTCATCCATTATTTCCTTTTGTCTTTCTGCTCTCTGCTTTATCAGACTTAAAAACAATGCAGGAAACTTGGCACTAGTGAGCAAGTCTAGATACTATGCCTTGGGGCCATATTAACTATGATTTTATTAAGTAATGAGTCCATTATTTTAATGTGCATTAAACAATATCCATTAGTTTAAATTTTAATATTTAACATCAGAGATTGGTAAATACTAACATTCAGTGCTATGGCTATGTCTATATAAAAGCCTACAAATAATTCACAAAACAAAAATTAAAATCACAGATATGTTTTTATAAAGACTAATTACAATATATTTAATAACATGGTAAAATCCAAATATGTTTACAGAAACCATTCTATTTTTTGTACTTCTTGCCTATTAGAATCTATTAACTAACCCAATTAGTTACCATCTGATAGTTTGTTTTCTCAATTTGTGGTTTCTGGATGCCTGCATCAGTTTCACTTGAGGTATGTGGCAGACAGTTTAGATCAGCTTACTCAAGGCAGACCACAAGTTAAGACAAGTTTTCCAAGACTATCTTCACCTTGGCTTTCTTACAGGACCTATCTTCTACAGGTAGATCCACCCATGAGAATTTGCAAGAAGGGAATGACAATCATGAAGCAGAGGTTCTGCTCTTGCAGCTTCCCCTATTTCTACTGCAGGTAGGATTATGAATATGGTCAGATTTTCCTGGG
The DNA here is from genome assembly GCF_000001405.40 of Homo sapiens. Classification (NCBI taxonomy): domain Eukaryota; kingdom Metazoa; phylum Chordata; class Mammalia; order Primates; family Hominidae; genus Homo; species Homo sapiens. The sequence goes on from NC_000013.11 coordinate 71,408,812, forward strand.
ACAACTTTTTAAGAGGTCTCATGGTTTATTCATAGCTTTTCAGTACCAACAGGGAAGGTGTTGCCATCCCTTTCACTGGCATGTGTAGTGACAGCGATTGCTTAATTCCCTAACTTCCTAATCATGACAGGTAAAGAAGCTCCTTTGATGGACCAGTTCCTAGGTGTTATTAAGAGGGTTACTCCTAGAAGTTAAACCTGGAGCCATGTACACCAACCATTCCAATAACCTTGTAAACATCTGACTGCCTCTTTTAAACCTCTTTCTGTTGCAACTAACTGGAATGATTTTCAATCTGAAACTTAATGAATAGAAAATGTTTATTAAAAATGCAAATCCAGAGTCCTCCCCCAAACCAATTTAATCAGAATCTCTTGAGAGTGTTCCAAGTGTCTTCATTTTAAACAATCTTTCTAGAATATTTTGGTGCATGATGAAATTTGAGAACCCATGCTGTGTCAAATATATGGGGACATGAAAATCTAGAGTGGGATCATCACTATAAATTAGCAAGCCAGGCAATAAACTTAAGTTTAAATTGACCCCTACTAAGCAGATTATGATTGCTCACTTTGCCCAGAGCCCTCCTCTGGGAAGTTCTTTACAAACAGATCACCATGTTGTGTGCCCTGTGATATCATTAATTTGGACACATCACAGACTCACAGGCAATCATTTGTATAGACCCACCTACAATAGGACCTACACAGGAGATTTATCCAAGATACATACTTTATCTTGAATGGTGAGAGTCTAATACAATAATATTCTCTCCCATTGAGGATTTGAATGTGGGACAAGAAGCAGTTAGCTAAGTCGAGAGAAGCAGAGAGATGCAAAAAAAAAAAAAAAGAATGCTATGGTATCTCTAAAGGCATAGAAGTCATGATTGAAGAGATAAATTAATCAGTAATAACAGTAGCTGGAGCAATAAAACCAGTGGTGTGAAACCCAACCTCCTCGTCTTTATGTGGTAAAACTCCACAGTCACCCCAATTCCCATGGGATTAGCTGAGGCCTTTCCCATGACACAAATGCAGCTCAACTTCTTTGTTTGCCCTATTCTGTTCTCTTCACTCTCATAGTGGTTGTTCCAAAGAGTTTATCTCAACAAATACACTGCATGCAAATTTCTGTTTCAGAGTCTATGGAACCCAGCTGATGATACATTTTCCATATAGCATATCCAATTTTTCAACCCAAAAGAATATGAAAATTATGTTTTAACAAACATGAATCTTAAAGCTCAACTAAGTATTTTATGGACTTAAGTTGCTACAGCCTGACTGCTTTTTTCACAGTTCTTGTACTGGGATTATTTCCTGGAATATCTTCAATTTATATAATGGTTTCCCTACAGAAATGTTTCTTTCTCTTACTAATATATGTATTGTTGTACCTAAGTTTGTTTAATTAAATCAATCAGAAAATTGGCTAAAAATTATGAAGTAATGTTAAAAATTCTCATCTAAAAATAAATTTCAGATTCTCAAAGAGAAGACTTTTGAAAATAAAATAGTTCGTTTTTTACCTAATATAACCAGGAATGTGCTTGTAAAGACTTTACCATAGTTCACCTTCTTCACATATATAGAGTTGTAATCATTTTAGAGTATACGAAGAAAGTTCCAACAGTTGTTTGGCTTTTTTTTTCTAAGCACAAGAATAAAGGGAAGCAGGCATATAATCAGTATTCAACATAATAACTGAACAACAGTGAACACACTTTTAATAGATTTGTTTCCTAATATTGATCTATGTTTGTTCAAAAGCCAAGAAAATAATGTGTCTAGTGCAGACTCATCTACAAATATGACTACTCATTGGGCAATGAATAAATTGGAACAGCTAAAAAAATCAATCAGATTTGAATTAAGGATCCTGTAAAGTATAATGCGAATATAGGTTGCGTACTGTGCCAACAAGTCTGAAATATACTTTGACCAGATTCAGGGTCCTTCAAAGCTTTTAATGTATCCTTTGTTACAAGACACAATGATTCTCTTTAGGAATCCACCGCCATTAGAAATTCAATTATATCTGACTATATATTTGCAGGATTTAACTGTAAAAACCAGGGATAGAAACATTGAAAATTTTACAAGTACCTCTATTTGATTAAATTTCAATCATGTGCATGAACTTTCAAATATGCCTAATTCTAACAAAGCTTAGCTCGCTCAATAGTAAACATAAACTGTAGTTTCTGCACACAGTTGCATTAACAATATCAGCATTTTAATAGCCAAAACAATTTGAGTACTTACACTGGGCCCTAAAAGTATGACACGAATGTACACAAAAATCCTCCTTCCCAATATTTCCACTTCTTAATATTGCTCCTTAACCACAGCTGCCTTTTTATCTTCCCTCATTGCAAACTAACAAAACTCTCCCCATAACTGTGCTAGCATTAGTTGTATTATGTTTTTCCCTCCTACACTTTGTGGCTCAGTTAATTATACATCAGTTAACTTCTCCTTCCCCTTTCATTCTCATTCCCCTTTGTCCTCTTTTTTCTCCTTCTTCTTCCTGTTTGCTTCACTTTGTTCATTTTTCTCCCACATTTATTTTTTTCATTATTTCAGATTCTATATATAAAGACTATATACATATTTTACAAGTATGCTATTTCAAAGTTGCATAATTCAAATTTGCATCAAAGTCTCTGATGCTGTAAACTATAAATATGGGTGGAAGGGATTCAACTCCTCATAATATAGTTCATTTTTTAATTTTTTATTTTTAAAAATGTTTTGATACATTATATTTGTACGTATTTATGAGGTACATGTGAAATTTCGTTATAGGCATAGAATGTGTAGCAATCAAGTAAAGGTATTTAGGGTATCCATCACCCAAATATCCATCATTTTCTGTATGTTGGTTATATTTCAAGTCCCCTATTCTAGCTATTTTAAAGTACACTACATTATTATTAACTCTAGTCACCCTACCCTTCTATCAAAGATTAGTTTAACATTCTTTCCAACTGTATGTGCAAGCAAACTCTCTCCATGCCACTTCCTCCCACCCATACACCCTTCCCAGGCCTTGGTAAATGCATTAAACTCTCTACCTCCATGTGGTCAACTTATTCAGCTTCCATATGTCAGTGATAAGATTTATCTTTCTATGCGTGGTATATTTCTCTTAAGCTAATGACCCCTAGTTCCATCCAGGTTGCTGCAAATAACATTATTTCATTCTTTTGGTGGCTGAATAGTATTCCATTATGTATATGTAGCACATTTTCTTTATCATCTGTTGATGGACACTTAGATTTATTCTACATCTTGCTATTGCATACTAGAATGCTGCAATAAACATGGTAATGCATGTATCCCTCTGATAGTTTTATTTCTTTTTCTTTGGATAAATATCCAGTAGTGGGATTGCTGGATAGGATGGTAGTCCTATTTTTAGTTTTCTAAGATATCTCTGTACTGTTTTCCACGGTAGCTATCCTAGTTTACATTCCCACCAACAGTGTATGAGTTCCCTTTAATTCATATCCTTGCCATCATCTTTTTTTTTTTTTTATTTAAATAGCAACCATTCTAACTGGGGTAAGATAATGTTCCATTGTGGTTTTGATTTGCATTTCCTTGATGAATAGTGATGTTGAGCATTTTTTCTTATAGCTGCTGGCCATTTGTGTATATTCTTTCGAGAAATGTGTTTTTATGTTCTTTGCCAATTTTTTAATGGTGTTATTTGTTTCTTTCCTGTTGAGTTGTCTGATTTTCTTGTATATTCTGGGTGTTAGTCCCCTGTTGGATAAGTAGTTTGCAAATATTATCTCCTATTCAAGAGATTGTCTGTTTACTCTATTGATTGTTTATTTTGCTATACAGAGGCTTTTTAGTTTAATATAGTCCAATTTGTATATTTCAGGTTTTGTTGCCTGTGGTTTTGAGATCTAACCACAAAATCTTGCCTAGATCAATATCCTGAAAAATTTTACTTATGTTTTCTTCTGGTAGTTTTATAGTTTCGGGTCTTACATTTGTCTGTAATCTATCTTGAATTAAATTTTTTATATGGTGAGAGGTAGGGGTTCACTTTTATTATTTTATGTATGATTATGTAGTTTTTCCAGCTTCATTTATTGAACAAGGTGTCTTTTCCCCAGTGTATGCTCTTGACAGATTTCTTGAAGATCAGTTCGTTGTAAATATGAAAATTTATGGCCAGGCGTGGTGGCTCACGCCTGTGTTCCCAGGACTTTGGGAGGCAGAGACAGGTTTATCACAAGGTCAGGAGTTCAAGACCAGCCTGGCCAAGATGGTGAAATCCCGTCTCTACTAAAAAAGCAAAAATTAGCCAGGTGTGGTGGCAGGCACCTGTAATCCCAGCTACTCAGGAAGCTGAGGCAGAGAATTGCTTGAACCCGGGAGGTGCAGTTTGCAGTGAGCTGAGAATGCCCCACTGCACGAGTGAGACTCCGTCTAAAAAAAAAAAAAAAAAAAAAAAAAAAAGAAAAGAAAATTCATGTCTCGGTTTTCTATTCTGTTTAATTGGTCTATGAGTCTGTTCTTATACCAATACCACGTTGTTTTGATTACTACATATTTTGAAATAATATATTTTGAAGTTTGGTAGTATAATGCCTCGAGCTTTGTTCTTTTTGCTCAGGATTGTATTGAATAGCCTGTCTATTTTTGTAGTCCATATTGATTTTAAGACCTTTTTTATTTCTGTGGAAAATGACATTCATAGTTTGATATGGATTGCCTTGAATCTGACTTTTGAGTACAAAATCACTTTAATACTATTAATTCTTCCAATCCATGGTGATAGAATGTCTTTGCATTTGTTTGTGTTCTATTTAATTTCCTTCATTAGTGTTATATGGTTTTCCTTGTAGAGATCTTTTGCTTTTTTGGTTAAATTTATTATTAGGTGTTCTATTTTTAGTAGCTATTGACAATGGGATTGCATTCTTGATTTCTTTTTGGCTATTTCATTATTAGTGTGTAAAAATGCTACTAATTTTTGTATGTTGATCTTGTATCCTACAACTTTACTAAATTTGTTTTCCAGCTTTAAGAGATTTCTGGTAGAGTCCTTCGGTTTTTCTAAATATAAGATTATGTCATTTGGAAAAAGGGACAATTTGATTTTTTCTTTCAACTTGGATGCCTTTTATTTCTTTCTTTTGCCCAATTGCTCTGGATAGGACTTTTAGTAATATGTTAAATGAAAGTAAGTATCCTTGCTTGCTCCAGTTCATAGGGAGAATGTTTTCAACTTTTCCCAATTCAGTGTGACGTTGGCTGTGGGTATGTCACACATGGCCTTTATTATGTTAAAGTATGTTTTCTCTATGCCTAGTATGTTGAGAGTTTTTATCATGAAGAGATGCTGAATTTTTCAAGTGCTTTTTCTGCTTATATTTAGATGATCTTGTATTTTTTATCATTCATTCTGTTTATATGAAGTATCATGTTTATTGATTTGAATATGTTGAAACAATCTTGCATCTCTGGTATAATTCCCACTTCATCATGGTGCAGTATCCTTTGGTGTGTTGTTGGATTCAGTTTGCTAGGATTTTGTTGAGGATATTTGTGTCTATGTTCATTGGGAGTATTGGCCCATATTTTTGTTGTTGTTGTGTCCTTGTCCAGCTTGGGTACCAGAGTAATGCTGGTTTTGTAGAACGAGTTAACAAGAATTCCATCTTCTTCCATTTTTTTGGAATAGTTTGAAGAAAATTGGTGTTAGTTCTTTATACATTTGGTAGAATTTGGCAGTGAGTCCATCTGGTCCTGAGCTTTTCATTCTTGGAAGACCCTTCATTACTGATTTAGTCATGCTACTCATTATTGTTTTATTCAGGCTTTCTATTTTTACTGGTTTAATCTTTGTACATTGTATGTTTCCAGGATATTATCCGTTTCCTCTAGGTTTTCAAGTTTGTGAGTTTATAGTTGTTTATAATAGTCTCTGATGATATTTTGTATTTCCTGACTGTTAAAGTTGTAATGTCTCCTTTTAAATTTCTGATTTACTTTGAATCTTCTTTCTTCTTGATTAGTCTAGCTAGCACTTTATCAATTTTGTTTGTCTTTGATGAAGAATACACCTTTGATTCCGTTGATCATTTGTATTGTTTTGTTAGTCTTTATTCATTTAGTTCTGACCTGATCTTTATTATTTCTTTTATTCTGCTAATTTGAGATTTTGTCTTGTTTTTCTAGTTCTTTGAGGTGCATGTTAAGTTGTTTATGTGAAATCTTTCTACTTTTTTGATACAGATGTTTACCGCTATAATTTTTCTCTTAATACTGCTTTTGCTGTATCCAACTACTTTTGGTATGTTGAGTTTTCATTTCCATTGGTTTCAAGAATTTTTTAAATGTCCATCTTAATTTCTTCATTGACCCTGTGATTGTTCAGGACCGTGTTGTTTAATTTCTATGTATTTAAATGGTTTTCAGAATTTCTCTTGATAGTCGTTTCTAGTTTTACGTCATGTTGTGGGGAGAAGAAACCGACATGATTTTGATTATTTAAAATTTGTTGAGACTGGTTTTGTGGCCTAAAATATGGTCTATTTTGGAGAATGTTCCATGTGCCAAAACAATGTGTATTCTGTGTGTATTGGATAAAAAGTTCTGTGAATGTCTGTTAGGCCCCTTTGCTCTAAAGTCTAGTTTTAAGCCAATGTTTCTTTGTTGATTTTCTGTCCAGATGATCTGTCTAAAGCTACGAGTGGAGTGTTGAAGTTCCCCACTATTATTGTATTAATCTCTCTCTTCAGATCAATATTTGTCTTATGGATTTGGGTGCTCCAGCACTAGGTGCATATATATTTAGAATTGTTACATCTTCTTGCCAGATTGATCCCTTTATTGTTATATAATGATCTGTCTTATCTTTTACTTTAAACTATTTTTTATTTAATGTCTATTTTATCTGATATAAGTATAGCTACTCCAGCCCACTTCTGGATTCCATTTGTGTGGAGTATCATTTTCCATCTATTTACTTTCAGTGTATATGTGTCATTGCAGGTAAAATATGTTTCATGTAGGCAGCATATATTGAATCATTTTTTAAAAATCTAAGTAGTCAGTGTCTTTTAAGTGGAAAGTTTAATCTGTTTCTATTCAAGACTATTACTGATATTTGAGGGTTTATTCCCTCATTTTATTAATTGATTCCTGGTTGTATTGCATATTCTTTGTTTCTTTCTTTCCCTCTTAATCTTTATCATTGTGGTTAGGTATTTTTCTATAGAAGTAAAATTTGTGTCCTTTCTCTTCCTTATTTGTGTGTTTGCTCCACCAGTGGGTTTTATAGTTTTAAATGTTTTCATGATGGTAGATACTGTCCTTTTGTTCTGAGATATAGAACTTCCTTAAGTATTTCTAGTAGAGACAATCTAGTGATGATGCATTTCCTACTTTTGCTTTTCTAGGGAGACTTTATTCCTTATTTATTTATGAAGAACAACTTTGCTGGGTATAGTGTCATAGGATAACAGTATTTTCTTTTAGCATTTTGAATATATCATCTCATTTTCTTCTGGCCTGTGAGGTTTCTGCTGAGAAATCTGCTGTTAGTCTGATGCAAGCCCCTTTATAAATGACGAGATGCTTTTCTCTTGCTGTTTTTAGAATTCTCTCAATTTTTAAAATTTTATTTTCAGCTTCAGGGCATATAGTGCAGTTTAATCATATATATGTATATATGTATATATGTAGTGTAATGGTGAGGTTGAGGCTCCTACTGTGTCTGTAAACTGAATACTGAATATTGTACCCAAAAGATGATTTTTCAAAACTCACACCCTCCCCAGACACTGAGGAATTGCTGCATTTTGAGTCCCCAGTGTCTGTTATTTCCCTCTGTGTGCCCTGTGTACCCTTTTCAAACTCCCACTTAAAAGTGAGAACATGTAATATTTGAGTTTCTATTTCTGAGTTATTTCACTTAAGATAATAGCCTCCAACTCCATTCATGTTGCTGCAAAATGCATGAATTTTTTTTCATGGATGCAAAGTGTTCATGTTGTAAATATACCACATTTTTTCATTCCAGTCACTCATTGATGGATACTTAGATTGATTCCATGTCTTTGCTTTGTGAATAGTGCTGTGATAAAAATAAAAATGTAAATGTCTTTTTAATAAAACAATTTATTTTCCTTTGGGTAGATACCCAGTAGTGGAATTGCTGGGTCTAATGGTATTTCTATTTTTTGTTCTTTGAGAAGTCTCCATGCTGTTTCCCATAAAGTTTGTACTAATTTACATTCACAAAAGCAGTGCATATGTTCCCCTTTCTCTTCATTCTCACCAACGTATTTTTTTTCTTTACTTTTTAATAATAGCCATTCTGACTGGTATAAGATGGTAACTCATTATAATTTTAATTTGCATATGTCTGGTGATTAGTGATTTTGAGCATTTCTTCATGTTTTTGACTATGTATATGTCTTTTTTTGAGAAATGTCTGCTAATGTCTTTTGCCCATTTTCTAATGGGGTTATTGGTTTTTTCCTTGTGAAATTGTTTGAGTTCTTTGAATAGTCTGGCTATTAGTCATTTGTCAGATGCATAGTTTGCAACTATTTTTCTCCCATTCTTTAGGTTGTCCTACTCTCTTGATCATTTATTTCATTTGCTGTGCAAAAGCTTTTTAGTTTAATTAAGTCCCATATATCTTTTTTTTTTTTTGCATTTTCTTTTGAAGTCTTAGTCATAAATCTCTTGGCTAAGTCAATGTCAAGAAAAGTTCATACTAGGTTTTCTTCAAGGATGTTTATACTTTCAAGTCTCATATTTAAGTCTTTAATCCATCTTGAGTTCATTTTTATATATGGTGAGATACAAGGGTCCAATTTCATTATTATGAATATGGCTAGCCAATTTTCCCAGCACCTATTATTGAATATGGTGTCATTTTCCCTGTGTATATTTTTGTTGACTTTATTGAAGATAAATTGGTTGTAGGTGTATAGTTTTATTCTGGGTTCTCTTTTCTGTCCGATTGATCTGCTTGTTTATTTTTATACCAGTACCATGCTGTTTTGGTTGTTATAGCCTTGTAGTATAATTTGAAGTCAGGTAATATGATGCCTTCAGTTTTGTTATCTTTGCTTACAAATGCTTTGGCTACTAGGGCTCTTTTTTGGTTCAATATAAATTTTAAGGTTTTTTTTTTTTCTAATTCTGTGAAACAAATGACCATGATAATTAGATAGGAATTGCTTTGGGTGGTATGGCCATTTTAATGATATTGATTCTTCCAATCAATGAGGATGGGATGCCTTTCTATTTGTTTGTGTCATCTACTAATTCTTTCATCAATGTTATATAGTTCTCCTTTTAGAGATCTTTCATTTTCTTGGTTAAATGTATTCCTAGGTATTTGTGTGTGTGTGTGTGTGTGTGTGTGTGTGTGTATGTGTGTGTAGCTATTACAAATGGAATTGAGTTCTTTATTTGGTTATCAGCTTGAATATTATTCATGTATACAAGTGCTGCTGACTTTTGTATACTGATTTTGTGTACTGAAACCTTACTAAAGTCATTTACCAAGAATCGATATCTTTTAGAAAAGTCTTTAGGGTTTTCTAGGTATAAGATCATGTCATCAGCAGAGATAATTTGATTTCCTCTTTTCCAAGATGGAGGCCTTTTGTTTCTTTCTCTTTCATGATTGCTCTGCTAGGACTTCCAGTACTGTGTTGATTAGGAGTGGTGAAAATGGACATCCTTGTCTTGTTCTAGTTCTTAGGGAGAATGTTTTCAGTTTTTCCCCATTCAGTGTGACATTGGCTATGGGTTTGTTATATGTAACTTTTATTATTTTGAGGAGTTTCTTCAATGCTCAGTTTGTTCAAGGCTTTTATTATGAAGTGGTATTGAATTTTATTAAATGCTTTTTCTGCATCTATTAAGATGATCATATGGTTTTTGTTTTTAACTCTGTTTATGGGATGAATCATATTTACTGATTTGCATATTTTGTACCATCTTTGTGTCCCTGGAGTAAAACCCATTTGATTGTGATCTATTATCTTTTTGATGTGCTGCTAGATTCAGTTTGCTAGTATTTTGTTGAGGATACGTGAATCTATGTTCAACAGAGATATTGGCCTGCAGTTGTCTTTTTTGTTGTTGTTGTATCCATGTCTGATTTTGGTATCAGAGTGATATGGTTTGGCTGTGACCCCACCCAAATCTCATCTTGAATTGTAGCTCCCATAGTCCCCATGGTTCTTGGGAAGGACCCAGTGGGAGATAATTGAATAATTGGGGTGGGGTTTTCTTGTGCTGTTCTCATCATAGTGAATAAGTCTCATGAGATCTAATGGTTTTATAAAGGGCAGGTGCCCTGCACATACTCTCTTGACTGCTGCCACGTAAGAAATGACTTTTCTCCTCTTTTGCCTTCCACCATGATTGTGAGGCCTCCCCACCCATGTGAAACTGTGAGTCCATTAAACCTCGTTTTCTTTATACATTAACCAGTCTCAGGAATTTCTTCATAGCAGTATGAAAATGAACTAATACACAGGGTGATACTGGTTTTATAGAATTAATTAAAGAGACAGTTCTTCTCCTAAATTATTAGGAATAGTGTCAGTGAGATTGGTACTAGCTTATCTTTATACATCTGGTAAAAATCGTTTGTGAATGCTTCTGGTCCTGAGCTTGCGTGTTGGAAGACTTTTTATTACTTATTTAATTTAATTACTCATATTGGTCTCTTCAGGATTTCTATTTCTGCCTAGCTTAAATCTTGTTTTATGTTGCCAGGAAAATGTCCATTTCCTCTAGGTTTTCTTTTTTTGCATGAATAGATGCTCATAGTAGTCTTTGATGGTTTCTTGAATTTTTGTGGTATCAGTTGTAATGTCACCTTTATCATTTCTGATTGTGTTTATTTGAATAGTCTCTTTTTCGTCTTAGTGAGCATTGCTAGCAGTCTATCAAATTTACCTTTTTTGAAGAACAAACTTCATTTGTTGATCCTTTGTAATTTTTTGGTCTCAATATTATTTATTTCTGTTCTGATTTTTACTTATTTATTATTTATTTTTGAGACAGAGCCTCACTCTGTCACCAGGCTGGAGTGCAGTGGTGTGATCTCAGCTGTTGTTTATTTTTATCTGCTAGCTTTGGGTTTGGTTTCTTGTTTTAGTTCCTTGAGGTGCGACAATAGGTTGTTAATTTGAGATATTTCTTTTTGTGTAAACATCTAATGCTATAAACTTGCCACTTAAAATTGTTTTTGTTGTATTCAAGGGGGTTTGGCATCTTATGTCTCTATTTTTATTTCTCTCAAAAATTTTGTTCATTATTGCTGTAATTTTCTCACTGACCAAAACACTACTCAGGATCACATTGTTTAGTTTCCATGTATGTTTATAATTTTGAGAATTACCTTGGATATTGATTTATAATATTATTTTACTGTCATCCAAGAAGATACATGATGTGATGTAGATATTTCTTAATGTATTGAGACTTGCTTTATGGCCAAGCATATGGTTTATTTTGGAGAATGTTCCAGGCAAAGATGGGAAAAAAAAGAAAAGGTTGAGAAAGTACATCTTAAATGTTCTTAAAACGACAAAACAAAAGATAGCTATGTGAGGTGATGGATAAGTTCGTTAGCATAATTGTGGTGAATATTTCACAATGTATGTATATATCAAATCATTAAGTGTAAACCTTAAACATACACAATTTTAAGAACACTTAAGATGTACTTTCTTAGAAAATTTCAAGTGTATGATATTGTTTACTATAGTCACACTGTTTTACATTAGATCTTCAGAAGTCATTTATCCTGAATAACTGAAACTGTTTACCTCATGACCCCAGATCCCATTCCCCATCCCCTGGTAACCACCATTCTACTCTATATTTCTATATGTTCGATATTTTTTGATTCCATATATAGGTGAGATCATGCAATATTTGTCTTTCTGTGCCTAGCTTATTTCGCTTGGTATAAGGTCCCTGAGATTCAGTATTTTCTCCATTTTCAAGGCTGAATAATATTCCATTGAATATTTATACTACAGTGTTTTTATCCATTCACTCACCAATAAATATTTAGGTGATTTTCTTATCTCACCTATTGTAAATAATGCTGAAATAAACATGAGAGTGTTTATTTCACCACTTTGATGAATTGATTTCATTTCCTTGGAGATATACTCATAAATGGGATTGCTGCATCATACAGTGATTCTATTTTTATTTTTTTAGGCAACCCCATCATACTGCTTTCAATAGCATCTACGCCATTTTACATTTTTCCAAATCATGAACAAGGGTTCTAATTTCTTCATATCCTCACCAACTCTTATTATCTCCTGTCTTTTGGATAATGGATATCCTAACAGATATGACACATGTCTAATTGTAGTTTTGATTTGCATTTCCCTAATGATGATGATTCCGCAGTAATATTGAAACCATTATGTATTTCATGTGCCTGCTTGCCATTTTTATTTTTTCTTTGAAAAAAAATCTGGTCAGGTACTTTTCCTATTTTTTAATTAGGCTATTCATTTTTTTGCTATTGAGTTTTAGTGATTTGTATGTATAAAATATTAACACCTTATCAAATACATGGTTTGCAAAGCATTTCTTTCTATTCATATGCTGCCATTTCATTCTATTGGTTGTTTCCTGGCTGTGCAAAAGCTTTTTAGTTTGGCATAGTTCAACATGTTAATTTTTGTTTTTGTTTTCTGAGCTTTTGGCATAAAGCCCCCCAAATCATTACTGAGGCCTATGTCACAAAGCTTTTCCTCTATGTTTTTTTTTTCTAGGAGTTTTACGTTTTAGGTTTTATGTTTAGACCTTTAGTTCATTTTCAGTTTGTTTTTATTTGTGGTGTAAGATAAGGGTCCAGATTCATTCTTTTGCATGTGTATATCCAGTTTTCCCAGTACAATTTATTGAAGAAAATATCTTTTCACATTGTGTCTTTTTGGCAGGCTTGTTGAAAATTAGTTGACCCTATTGCTCAAGTTTATTTCTGGGCTCTTTATTTTATTCTATTGTTGTCTATTTTTATACCTCTACCATACTGTTTTGATTTTTATAGACTTGTAATATAATTTGAAATTAGGAAATATGATGTCTTTGTTTTCCATCTCAAAATTGAACTTATTATTCAAGGTGTTTTGTAGTTTCATACTATTTTATAATTTTTTAAATTTGTAAACAAGGCCATTGAAAATTAGGTAAGGATTGTTTTATGGCTTGAGTGTTTGTGTCCCTTCAAAATTCATGTTAAAACTTAATTCCTCTTGTAGTGGTACTGACAGACAAGGCCTTTGGGAAGTGATTAAGTCATGAGAACCCCACTTTCATGAAAGGGAGTAATGCTTTTATGAAAGAAGGTTAAAAAGCTTCCTGTCTCTTTCATCTCTTCTGAAATGTGAGAACAAATTTTCACTTTTTGCCCACTTCTGACACATGAGGATACAGCAAGAAACAGCAAGAAAGTGCTATCTTGGAAGCAGAGAACAGCCCTCACCAGACATGAAATCTACTGTCACCTTGGTCTTGAATTCCCAGTCTCTAGTACTGTAAGAAAGACATTTCTGTTCTTTATGAACTACCCAATTTCAGATACTTTGTTATAGCAGCACAGACTAAGATAATTGCATTGAATCTGTATATCACTTTGGGTAGTACAGATATTTTAACAATATTAATTATTCCAATCCGTTAATATAGTATATCTTTTTATTTATTTGTATTTTTTAATTTCTTTCATCAAAATTTTATAGTGTTCAGTGTACAGATATTTTACTTTCTTGGTTAAATTTATTCCTGAATACTTTCTTATGCTATTCTAAATGAGATTATTTTCTTAATTTATTCATCAGCTAGATTGTTATCAGTGTTTTTTTTGTCTATTTGCAGTTGTTTCATCCCTCTTTCCTCTCTTGCTATTTTTTTATTGTATTTTATTTTATTTGGAGGGAGTGATTTGCTTTGATTCTTTCTTCTTCATCTTTTTTCTATATATTACAGGGTATTTTTTTTTCTTTGTGGTTAGATGAAGGCTTGCATAAAATATTTTGTAGTTAGAACCTTCTATTTTATAGTGATTATTAAAAAGTGAAAAAACAATAGATTCTGGTGAGGCTGTGGAGAAATAGGAATGCTTTTACACTGTTGGTAGGAATGTAAATTAGTTCATCCATTGTGGAAGACAGTGTTGTGACTCCTCAAGGATCTAGAACAAGAAATACAATTTGACCCAGCAATCCCATTATTAGGTATATACGCAAAGGAATAGAAATTATTCTACTATAAAGACACTTGCACACATATCATTATTGCAGCACTATTTACAATAGCAAAAACATGGAACCAACCCAAATGCTCATCAGTGATAGACTGAATAAAGAAAATGTGGTACATATACTCCATGGAATACTATGCAGCCATAAAAAGGAATGAGATTATGTCCTCTGCAGGGACATGGATGAAGCTGGAAACCATCATCCTCAGCAAACTAGCACAGGAACAGAAAACCAAACACCACATATTCTCACTCATAAGTGGGAGGTGAACAATGAGAACATCTGGACACAGGGAGGGTAACAACACACACTGGAACAAGTTAGTGGGTGGAGGGGTGAGGGGAGGGAGAACATTAGAACAAATAGCTAATGCATGTGGGGCTTAAAACCTAGATTATGGGTTGATAGGTACAGCAAACCACCATGGCACACATATACCTATGTAACAAACCTACATATTCTGTACTTGTATCCCAGAACTTAAAGTAAAATAATAAATAAATAAATAAATAAATAAATAACCTTCTATTTTAAATTGATAACAACTTAATTTTAATCACACACAAAATGCTATACTTTTACTAACCTCCATTTTTGTTCTTGTAATCAGAATGTGACTTCTTTTAATATTATATATTAATTAACAGATTTTGATCTTTTAACTTTAATTATATTAGGATTTGGAGTATTTGGAGTCAGTTATACAACACCATCACATTGTTACAGTAATCTATATTATGTTTATATGTTTACCTTAACCAGCGAGATTTAAAATAATCTGTTTTTGAATTAACTGATTTTACTGCTTGATCAAGTCTGCTGTTGGAGCTCTCTTGAACTTTTTATTTCAGTCATTGTATTCTTCATCTCTAGAATTTCCTTCTATTTTGCTTTTTTATGGTTGTTGAACTTATTTGCATCCTTTGGGGATTTTTCTTCTTTCCTGATTTTGTTTAGTTGTCTATCTATGTTCTCTTGTGGCTTAGTTTCTTTACGATAATTATTTTTCCTACTTAGGCATATCTCAATTTCCTTGGAATAGATTACTAAAAAATGATCACATTCCATTGGTGGTGTCATGTTCCTTGATATTTTGTATTTCTTATAGACTTGTGTTAATGTCCATGTATTTGAGGAGACAGTAACCTCTCCCAGACTTTGTAGACTGATTTTAATGGAGAAAGACCTTCAATTACAGGTAGGCTTGAGGGCACCATCTGGGAAGGGTGTAGCAGCTATGGCTCTAGGGAGGATGCAGTGGCACAATCTCTGTGCAGTTTCATTAGCTGAGGTCAATTGGTGAAAACTGCAGGGGCCCTTGGTGGTCAAGGCTTCAGGTGTCCATATTGGTGGCAATGTCTGCTAGGGTCTTCTTGTCCTCTTTTTCCTTGACTAGGGGAGGCCAAGGCCAATGGGAATCCTTCTTGGCATGAGACCTGGTGCACAAATACATTTGTAGTAGTGTGGGATGTGTGTCTAATGCATGAGCACACATGAAGCTGCCAGGAAGCCATGGTCTGGTACACGGGCACATCTGAGGCCCCTGGGTCTAGGACATGGGTGCACTTGCTGCAGCACTGTCACTAGTGTTTAAGGAGCAAGTATGTGGTAGTGGTGCAGGTGTTTGAAGCACAGGTGTTTATGGAGTGGCTGTGGAGCTGGTATCTGGGGCATGGGCACACATGGGACAACCATCCCATCCAGTTGTATATAGTTACAGAGAGTCTCAGGGTGGTGCAGCAGTGGCTCCTTCTCCAGGAGGATGTGCTGGTGTCTCCTTCTCCAGAGGGTCTATGGCAGAGGTAATGGCTATTAAGTTCCTCGGCAGCAAAGGAAAGCAAGCCAGTGTGGACAGTGATAGCACTTGCTGCTTGGCTGATAATGATAGCCCTATCCTTCTTTGCTCCTAGTTGTCTCCAGATGTCTCAGCAATGACTATCTCCCAGTGATCTGGATGAGATGAAACTGAAGTGTGTCCCCGGGCAGTGCCTTGAAAGGCTGGGAAGCTGATTGCTCACTGTGTGCTTCTTCTCCTCACTAGGGGTACTCAAAAACCAGTGTTCCCCCTTGATGCTAAGCTGTGCCTGCCTAGGGAATAAAATGATACAGGCTGAAGGAAACTGTTCTTCCTACATTTTGTGTGGTTATTCCCCATCTTTTTGCTCCACTTTGTTGTGTAACTTCTTAACTCTTGAGATCACCCAGAGATTACTTTTTCATTTGTGAATAAATGCCTAATTGTTTTTTGTGGGAGGACAAAGGCTGGGTTCCCCCACTCTACCATCTTGCACATGTCACTCTTGCATTATGTTTTTCATCTTTTCTTCATCTTCTTCATCTCTGCCTTTGTCTTTTGCTTACTTTTTCAACCTCACTAGTTATTTGAATTTTGTATGCAAGAATATAGAGGGGACAGGAAGTCCACAGAACGGGGAGTCAGCAAATAGAGATTTCATGCATTTCTTATGTAGTTTCACTTATTTTATCACAGTCACATATAACCTCAAATGAACCAAAAATTTGCTTCATTTAAATTCAGAGACACTTAGTAAACAGAAATTTATTAAACTTTATTCAACTTCATGCCTACAACTGTAAAATGTGAATAAGATGGCCTATATTGTACAGTTCACAAGGGCATGTGGTCAAATGAGATAATATGTGTCAATTAGTCATGAA
This sequence comes from Homo sapiens, assembly GCF_000001405.40. Taxonomy (NCBI): domain Eukaryota; kingdom Metazoa; phylum Chordata; class Mammalia; order Primates; family Hominidae; genus Homo; species Homo sapiens. The sequence goes on from NC_000013.11 coordinate 71,425,790, forward strand.
AAATATAAATTTAAAAAATAAAGTTAAAATATTACTTATTTGACGCACCGCTCAACAATCACACTGGCTATTGAGTGGCGACAATCTGGCATTTCACTTTTTTCTGGTAAAAATATTGCAGTATGTCCACAGTAAATAATTCATCCTCTCCCATTCTTATGTAAAGTGATTTTAATAGATTTAATTCTCTTCTAATTCTAGAGCTATGAGACTCAAGCATAGACACAGGAACAGATTTAAATAATAAAAGCCAAACAAATAACTATTTTGTTTTCATAATAATTATTAATTGTTCCGACAATGCTTTTTTTTTTTTTTTTTTTTGAGACGGAGTGTCACTGTCACCCAGGCTGGAGTGCACTGGGGCAATCTCGGCTCACTGCAACCTCCGCCTCCCGGGTTCAAGCAATTCTCCCTGCTCAGCCTCCCGAGTAGCTGGGATTGAAGGCATGCGCCACCACGTCCTGCTAATTTTGTATTTTTAGTAGAGATGGGGTTTCTCCATGTTGGTCAGGCTGGTCTTGAACTCCCAACCTCAGGTGATCTGCCGGCCCCAGCCTCCCAAACTACTGGGATGACAGGTGTGAGCCACTGCGCCCAGCCACAGTGCTTTTCTTTAAATAAATAGAAATAACTTCTTACCCAAATAAACAGGTGGAAAGCGGAAGGGCAGGGAGGAGGACTATATTTCACACACGCATTTAAGGAAATGCGCAAGTGCAAGCCATTTTGTCATCAAATGTGTTTTCTACTGTAGCTCTGATGGCAGCATCCATGCAAGAAAAGAGAATACAAAGAATATGTGGAAAGTTTCAATGGGCCAGGCCTACAAGTGACATACATTAACTCTATCTTAAATCTACTGACTAAAATTCAGTCATATGCTCTTACTTAGAAGCTATAGACCTGGAAAAACTTATCCACAACATCATTACAGAAAGAAAAGAGACGGTGTTTATTTGGTTAAAAAAAATGAGCTATTTTAGCCACACTGTTGGTGAAGAAATATTCTATTTTTCTACCTAAATAGAATCTAAGTACATACAATAGCATCATTGCTAAAAGGAATTGTACTTTTGTATGAATCTTGAAAGTGATGGAAAACAGAAATGCTCACTGGATAACTTTTTTAAAAGTATCTTGATTATTTTATTAAGGCCCTGATTTGAACTATAAAAGATGCTACCAAAACCCTGAATTTGAGAGATGCTTCCCCTTTTTAGCCGAAGAAAATTTGATGTGAGCTTTCTGTCAACAGTTAGTGAAAGTGCCTTGAGTATTATAAGCCATCAGTTCAGACCATTGAATGCCCAATGGTCTTAAAAACATTTTCCTCTATAAAATACAGGATTATATTAAATGATAGAACATTTTTAGGGCCAGTTAGTTTATAATTTCATAATTATTTTAGCAAACATTTGTTAATCAAATACAAGAAATCATTCACAAAGCTTGATGTACAACAAATATAACAAGACAGAATTTGTTTCCTTGAAGACATATATTATTAAAAAATCAGAGAAAAAGCATTATAATCAATTTTTTAGATGTAATCATGTAGTCACTTGCCTTGTGAGAGAGCCAAGAAATGTTGTGGCCTTTGTTGACTAAGTTAGATAGAAAGAATTGTTAAGAAATGCTACCTGAGAAATTGGCACCTGATTTGATCCAAAATTAAGATTTAAAAAGAGCTAACAAGACAAAGTTGGGACAGAAAGGAATGCCTAGCCATGTTGTACAGGGAGTAGAATTTCCAGCATTATAAACAAAAGTCTTAATGGAAAAAATTATAAATTTTGGGCAGAAAATTTCAAAGTTTCAAAGTTTCAGTATCAGCCAAGCAAGTTGAATGTGACAGGAACATAAGAGAGCAAAATAAGAATGTTTAAAAATGGTCAGATGACTAAGCATAGGTTCCATGAAAGGTTCTTTTCTTTAAAAATTAAAAAAGAAAATCTGATAAAGAGGAAGGATATAAAGTATATCTGTCTCTGAGCCATCTATAGATCCATGGGTAACTTGGAATTTCAGTTTCAAAGGTCATGATTATGGCATATGGGAAATAAAGTCTGAGTGGAGAATTTCATATAAACCCAGGAATCAGAAAGTCTATACAAGTTAAAAACTTAAAGTGGTAAAAATCCATCTCTTAAAGGTAGATGTCAGAAAAAAAATATATATGAGCTGTAACTCTTGGTAAAGAAGAAAGGAATCTCATTTGAAGATTTAGGACAATAAACTTACCCTCAAACTTGCACTATCTCCATGAACTAAAAGAATTTTAAGTTAATTTAAATTTAGATTTTAGTTAAGAGAGCCCCTGGTATCTAGCAGAAGCAAAAAAAATTTCTCCATGGAGCATTAGAGTCTCAAACAAGATTTTCAAGAATTCCCATAGATAAAGTTCCAATGAACATGAGTTCAAAATCAACATTTAAAATTGTTTGATACATAATATTTGTACATACTTATGGAGTACATATAATGTTTTACATGCTTAGAATGAGTAGTAATAAAGTCAAGGTGTTTAGGATATTCATCACCTTGAGCATTTATGATTTCTGTATTTTGGGTACATTTCAAGTCCTCTCTTCTAGCTACTTTGAAATACATAATACTTTTTTATTAACTATAGTCACCCTGCTCTGCTATCAAACATTAGAATTTATTCCTTCTATCTAACTCTACAAAATCAAAATTTTTATATTATTAAGAAATAAGAAATTAGAGGGGATCACAGAAATAATGAATATAGAATCAGACCTCAATAACACAAAATATTGGAATTCTCAGAAACAAAATATGTCTTTATTGTTCAATAAATAGATATAGAAGTATGCAACTATAGGTAAATAATGTATATAATATATAAAGAAATAAAAGAAAGAACCAAACACGTGGATAAAGAAAACCCACTAAGAGCAACTTAGAAGGTCTAAAAAAAACCAAGTAGACTTCTAAAAAATGAAAATATAATAATATTGAGTATTCTCTGTAGCGTTAAATGGCAAACTATATACATCTGAAGAGATATTTAGTAGACTGAAAGAGAAATCAGAAAAATTACATAGAATAAGGTACAGATAAAGAAATAGTATATATGAATGAAGGTTAAGAAACTTGGAAGTTAAAGTAGAAATGTCTCACACAGAATTACATTGGAATTCCAGAAAGTTGTAAACATTATGAAAAATAGACACAGGCATCATTTGAGGACATAATGTCTTAGAATTTTCTAAATTAAAGAAAAATATCTCTTCAACTATTTGGGAAGCCCAGTGGTTTCCAAATATAATAAATAAAAATAAGTCCACACCTATACAAATTATTTTCAGACTGCAGAACACCAAAGACAAATAAAAGTTATTAAAAGAATCCCGAGAGAAACGACAAATTGCCTACAAATAACAATATTTAAACTACACTTTCATAATACCAGTTGGTGCCAGAAGCCAGCAAGAAGAATATAAAAATTGTTAAGAGAAAATTACTGGCAAAATCCAATTGAACATTAAGCAAATTTATTTTTTGTCAAAGAAGAGGAGAAAAATAAAGCTGTTTTAAGACTACCAAAAAGTAAAGAATCTTATACAACTCCATTAAGGAAAGAAACTTTTGAACATAATCTTCAGAAACAAACAAAAAAAATGACTCAGGAAGTCAGAGATACAATAAGGAATATAAAGAATAATAATAATATAAACACAAAATGACGAACCACTAGCAATAGTAAGTTCTTGTAGGAAAAAATGAAAATTAGAAATAAAAGAGCATCTGAAAACATCAAGAGAGGAAATGGAATGAAGGCATTTCAGGGGCCTGGTATTTTTTGGAAAAAAATAAATGTATGGAAATATTGTACCCTTTGCTACATTAAGTAAACTTCTTAAAAACTCAAGAATAACTACTAACAAAATAGAAATAGAGTGTATGATGTATGATTTCCAAGCTGTTATGGGAAGAATAAACCAAATGACGAATCACAGCCTTTAAAAAATGAATAAATAAAAAGAAACCCCAGAAAACTAGAATAAATAAAAATAATTAAAATGCTAGAAATAAATATAAACTTACTGAATCCTCTAGAAACAGATCTTCAGTGTGAATTTTTAAAATCAACTATATTTAACCTTATGTAATATGAAACTACATCAGTCTTACTTTCTGCTGAAGTTTCACAATTAAGACTCTTTAAAGAAATAGCTGGGTTTTTGTTTGTTTGTTTGTTTGTTTGTTTATTTATTTTGTGACAGGGTCTCACTTTGTGACCCAGGCTGGAGTGCAGCGGCATGATCTCTGCTCAATGCAACCTCCTCTGCCTGGGCTCAAGAGATCCTCCCACCTCAGCCTTCTGAGTAACTGGGACCACAGTCTTGTTGCCATACCATACTGGGGTAATTTTTGTATTTTTTTGTAGAGATGGGGTTTTACCATGTTGCCCAGGCTGGTTGGGAATTCCTAGACTCAAGCTGTCTGCTCACCTTGGCCTCCCAAAGTGCTGCGATTACAGGTGTGAGTCACAGTGCCTGGCTGAAATAGTGTGTTTTAAGGTCTCAAGCAGTTAAAAAAGTACTAGCTAAGGCTGGAACAGTTTATTGAGGTCCAAGCAAGCAAATACTCAACAATTAATGGAGACCCATAGAAAGGACACAAGAGCCAGCTTGAGGGAGTTCCTGCTGGCCAAATTTGGGTCATTTTAATATAAAAAATAATGTTAAATAATATAATATATTAAATATGTTTTTAAAAATAGTTCACAGCTGCTTACACATTCTGAGAGAGAGGGGAGAGAAAGCAAATGGGGCAAAATATTAGCAATTAGTGATCTTAGATAAAGGGTGTGAGTCTTTCACATTTTCTATGGCTTTGAAATAATTCATGATAAAACATGCCTGCGCATTAACTACAAGATCATGCCCAACCTACTTTGCAAAATAGTACTATCACATAAATGCATATTTTAAAATAACAAACATTTTGATATCTTGCAGATTCTGTGTTGGTTTCTGGTCATGATTGCTTTAAATATTTATCTTAGCAAGTAATAATGCCATATGATCTCATTTGTTAAAGTTCTGCCCTTCCAATGTGACGAGACTAAAACAAAACAAAACAAAATTAACTGAGATTGGAAAAACAAAAACAAAAACCTGGGACGTCACTTCTTTTTCTGGTTTTGGCCAAGAGAATAGCACTGTTCCTCCCAGATCCTTTTTTACAACTAAGAACTCTGAACAAAAAGACAACAAACAAGCATAGAGAGGGTCTCTGAAAGGTGGAAAGAATGCGGACTGCCTAGGGGCCTCAAGCCTTAAGAATGATACCGACGTGACTTCCCTGGGTTTCCTTATTGCCTCCCATGTATCACACAGCCCTGCAGAAGTCTCCAAGCAAGAGCTGCAATGAGACCCAAACATAAAATTCTCTAAGGTCAGTCTTTTTCCTTACCCCAAGGACCAGTTAAATGGTGGGCAAACAAAACAACCTCTTTGGCCATACACAACCAACTACAGCCAAGCACCAATGGAAAAGTCACTCCCCACAGCCAACTACACTCCACATTTAGTGGGGCAAGTGAAAAGCTGATCTTCCACCCAATGCCACCACCCTCCACACCACTTCCCCATCTGTATAAGCAGGAGGTAGGCTGTGATCCCACTGTTAACAACCAGATGGGAGCTAATCTTCCTTCCCTCTGCTGGCTGGGGCTAGCTGAGCCTCCACCCCGACCTGCTGGTAGCCATGAAACTTAATGAGGCAGGGCAAGACAGGACTAGCTACCACTTAGATTCATCACCCACCTCAATCATGTCATTAGGGCACAGTGGGGGTATTCACCTTGCATCAAGTAAGCAGAAAGAGGTGGTGTGAGCTTCTTTTCCTCCAGTGCCCTGTGTCAATGGGCAGAGAGAAGAACTCAGCTTCTGCCTGACCTAGGTCATTCATACGTTGTTGATGGGAAAGTGAAACAGCACAGCCCCTCTGGAAAAGAGTGTGATGGTTTCTCACAAAATTAAACATGCAATCACCATATGACACAGCAATTACATTCTTGGGAGTGAAGAAATAAAAACTGATACCAAAAAAAGTGTACATAAATATACATAGAGCTTTTTTATTTTTTATTTTTGACGGAGCCTTGCCCTGTGGCCCAGGCTGGAGTGCAGTGGCGCAATCTCGGCTCAGTGCAAGCTCCGCCTCCCAGGTTCACGCCATTCTCCTGCTTTAGCCTCCTCAGTAGCTGGGATTACAGGCGCCCGCCACCATGCCCGACTAATTTTTTTTGTATTTTTTAGTAGAGACGGGGTTTCACCGTGTTAGCCAGGATGGTCTCGATCTCCTGACCTCTTGATCCGCCCACCTCGGCCTTCCAAAGTGCTGGGATTACAGGCGTGAGCCTCCGCGTCCGGCCACATAGAGCTTTATTCATAAAAACCACAAACTGAAAACAATCCACTTGTCCTTCAAAAGATAAATGGTTAAACGAAATGTGGTACATCCATACCACAGAATAATACTCAGAAATAAAAAGGAATTAACTACTGACAAGTCAATAACTTGTATGGATCTTAAGAGCATTGCACTGTGTAAAAGAAAGTCAATCTCAAAAGGTGTCCGACTGTATGACTCCATGTAGACAACATTCTTATGAAGATGAATTATAGAGATGGAAAACAGATTAGGCATTTGCCAGTGTTCAGGGAAATAGGGAGAGAAGTTGATGGCTGTAGCAGTAAAAATATAATAGTGGGAATCCTTGTGATGGAACTGTTCTGTATCTTGACTGTGGTGATGGTCACGTGAATCTACAAACTTGATAAAATATATAACTAAACACACACATATACACACAAATGAGTGCATGTAAAACAGGTGATATCTTGTTGGTAGATGACATCAATGTGAATTTCCCAATTGTGATACTGTACTATATTTATGCAATAGTTCACCTGGAGGGTAAATGAGGGAAGAATTCATGGGATGTCTCTGTGTTATTTCTTATAACTGCCTATAATATACAATTATCTCAAAACATTTAAAAATATTTTTAAATGAATAAATAAATAATATTGATACCACATCCCAAGGCAAGATGCAAGATCATCATCAGAATTTGCAAATAGATATTTAGAAACTAATATTGTGTCCTTCATTTTCCACCCCCTCCAGATTGTAAAACAAATTTAAGAGGTAGGATAAAGAATCAGAGGTAATAAGATGATTGTTGGTGAGGGCTGAGGGTCTCTTTTGGTTCAAGTTACTTCAAACACCTAGAGGATGAGAAAAATAACTGTCTTTCATCTGAAGTCTAGAGAAGAGATCTCAATGGGACCACTTAAAGAACCCAATTTGTCCCCTACAGGTTGGTGGACACAGAGGACCAGTGTCTGTTTAATGCTTGAATTTTTAATGTAGCAATATGTGTCTGGTTTGTTGCTCTGAAAAAGGTAGTCAGAGCGTTTTCTGCATTATGGGGAGTGCTTCAACATTCCCAGTGTCTATCAAAGTAATAATGCTGGAGTATTTACTGTGGACGCATGTGGTACAGATTCAAGAATGAACAGAAGATAGCTAGGCCTAATAGTGAAAGCTCAGCAGATAAAAGAGGAGTGCTAGGTGACCCATCAAAATGGAAGTGCATCTGGCTTCTTCAAGGCAACTGCAGGTGAAAGATTCCCCAGGAATGGGGGGTGTCCCCCAAATCACAGTCAGCTTTTAAAACCTATAATATCTAAATGTTAAATTATCATTTCTGTTAGTCAATTAAGAATTTTTGGCTGAGTGCGGTGGTTCACACTTGTAATCCCAGCTCTCTGGGAGGGTGAGGCAGGCAGATTACTTGAGCCCAGAAATTCCAGACGAGCCTGGGCAACTTATTGACCCCCTGTCTCTACAAAATTACAAAAATTAGCCGGGAATGGTGATGTGGGCCTGTAGTCCCAGCTACTCTGGAGGCTGAGGTGGAAGGATTACCTGAGTTAGGGAGGTCAAGGCTACAGTGTGTCGTGATGGCACCACTGCACTCCAGCCTAGGTGACAGAGTGAGACCCTGTCTCAGGGGGAAAAAAAAATTTCTCTCCACCTTTCTCCCCTAAAAATACATTGTGCTGTTACACCATTTACCTGTTTGTTCTTTGATCATTTTCTCTGGTCTTGCCCTGCCTTGTTCTATACTGCAGGGACCTTCATTTCCCAAGATCTCTTGACCACTATTATTACTATTATTTTGGCTCTGATATGGACCTATTGTCTTCCTGTAGCCATATGCGGTGTGTTGTGGGGGGGGGAACATAGGTAAAACATACATACATTAAAAAGCATCAAAATATATAATGGAAGGAGCCATAAACCATTCAGCATACATGAACCCAGGCACATGATAACCAAAGGAATTTAGCTGAAAAATCCAACTCATTGTGATTATCTTTTTCTTTATAAATTCCACAAGGTGAGTTAGTAAGAAAAGTGCTGACAATCTTCTCCCAGCTCCCATACTCATGGTAGAAATTAACAATGGGGATTTTTAAATTAATAACTTTTTTTTTTTTTTTTGAAACGGAGTCTCCCTCTGTCACCCAGGCTGGAGTGCAGTGGCATGATCTCATCTCACTGCAAAGTTTGCCTCCTGGGTTCAAGCAATTCTCTGCCTCAGCCTCCCAAGTAGTTGGGATTACAGGCGCACACCGCCATGCCAGGGTAATTTTTGTATTTTTGTAGAGACGGAGTTTCACCATCTTGGCCAGGCTGGTCTTGAAATCCTGACCTCATGATCCACCCACCTCAGCCTCCCAAAGTGCTGGGATTACAGGCGTGAGCCACCGCGACCAGCCAAATTAATAACTTTTAATAGCTAAATAGTTACCATTTAAGTCTTTGCTTGTTTTTTAAAGCAGAAGTTTAAAATATATTATCAAAAGTGACTACACACAATAAACAGAAAATAGGGATAATGCACGGTGATGGAGATTTATCAACCAACTTGTGGTCATCTGTTGCCTAATGTAGTAGACAAAGTTTGTCACACAATTAGCATTGATGGAAGAGCAACCAAAATACCTGCGAGAGAACTGGAGACTACTAGCAAAGTAACTTAACACTCTGGATCAACTCCCAAAGATATTTACTGTTTCTCTGCAAGCTAACCTCACCATAGCATAGAATTCTATTTTGATTAATCTATGGTGTTTTTGAGTGTGTATATTAATAGAGCATTTTTAGTGGTTGCTGTAGATACTACATTATATTTGCAGAATTTACCACAGTTTACTTGAATTGACTGACATTTTTCCAGTGTGAGCTACGTATAAAAACATTACCTCCTTTTGCCCGACTTTACACTCCCCCATTAATATAATTGTCTTAAATATTTACCCTTTCTACATTGAGAATCACACCAGACTATGTCATAACTTTTGCTTCCGCAAACCTGTAGACTCTCTGAGAAGGGCTTGGGGCTGCTTCTCACATGCTAATCCTAGGCATGAAAAACCAAGGATTCTCCCCAAATGGGATGAACTGAGAAGAATGTTTAGGACATTCAGAGCAAAGGTGAATCAATAATGACTGAGATAGAATTTTTACCTCCATGCGCAGTTGGAACTGGGGTCAGATTTATCAATTTTATTTAGAAAAAAATCATTGCATTCCTCGTATTGCAAATTCATATTTAATTCAGAATTAAGTTCAAAATGCTAAAATTACTTTTCAAAAATATTTAATTGATTTTACAGAACCATTAGTTGGCATTAGTAGTGTGAGTGCACAGCTCACATTGCACACTTATTCATCTCCAGCTATTTCTCTGCCCCACAGCAGGACCTCCACTAATTGTTTTCTATAATGTAATATTTGTCAATCTCCCAGACAGTGGTCTGCAAACTTAGCTGCTTGCTAGAATCACCTGAAGAACTTGAAAATCCTGATGCCCTAGCCTCACCCCCAGAGATTCAAATTTAATTAGACACAATAATTTCTAAAATTCCCTAAACTCATCTAATGTACTGCCAAGGTACCTTACTGGCATGTGCTCTGACCCGAGGCAATCAGAACTCTCTGGGAATCTGACTTAGGACAAGACAGAGAGAAGGATTTGTTCATTCCTGTGGGCTGGGTCTTATGCTCTTGAATAATAGAAGAGTCAAGTGACGAACAAGAGAAGCAAGTGTGTCTGCAATGAGAGGAGAAAGAAGCAGAGTCACTGAAAAGAGCAGAAAAGTGAAGGTAGAAGAAGGTCCTTGGTCCCTGGTCCCTGGGGTCTGACTGCGTTGTTGTCTTGGGGTCCATGTGCACCTTTCTGTCTTTATAACAAATTTTCTTTGCTCTTTAATCTTGCAAAAGTTTGTTTTTATTATATCCCACCAGAAGAGTCCTAACTGATCAAATTGTTCAGCTCAAAATCTTCAGCTCATTAATCTCTAAATGTAAATGATGCTACCACTACAAATGTCACCCATTACCTAAATCACTCAGTTGGCATTTAGGAACTTATGTTCTGTGCTCTTTGAATCATTTTAAGCCATTACTTACTCTATATACTGATGCTGATGGATAAATATTAAATATTGTATATCTATATGCAATAGTCTAAACATATCAGGAACTTTTGTTTGTTGATAACTTTTTTTTTGGTCTGTAATTACACAGGCTACTTACCTTAAAATAACATTTGTGATCATTGATAAGAATTATGTGATTGAAATAAATGAGCAAACATGAAAAAAATAACTAATAGGCTGTTTTACATAGGGGAAAATATATCTTTCCTTTTTCTCAATTCCTACCCAATTGCTTGACTCCCAAATCACCTCTGTTCTTTAGAAGGTTAAAGTATAAAATGGGTCACTAGATTGTTACCACCTAGTAGAAAGGTGTCTATGGCAATACCCTTTTAATGCCAGTTCTATTTCCACTACAGAGCAAAAAAAAAAATGCTCAATGAATCTTATTTTCCTGAAAGTAAGATTCCTCATTCCAACAAAATTATAAGCTTTCAACTTCAGTCATTACAACGTCTGGTGCAGTGCTTTGTGTAGAATGGAGGCTTTATTCATGAATTTGCTTAAATGAATAAATGAGGATAAGTTCAGCTTTTATATACAAGTCATATAGTAAAGATAAATGTTACCATCAAGCCTGCACATAAGGAAAAGATATTTTTGTAAGGCAATTTACAACAGCTTTTTGATTCTATTAACATCTCTATTTCCCATATTTTAAAAATGCAATCCATATAACATATTTATAAGATACTCTCCTCTAGTAATAAATAGCTTTTGTGAACATTATAAATTTGCTAGTCTCAATGAAAACACATGGGGGCAAACCTAAATTATCACTGAGTTTCACTAACATCCAGAGACTGCATGATGTTCTAGTGCTAGTCTTACTGACATAAACATATGATGACAGAAGACAAAAATGTGCTTGTAATGGTCACATCATAAACGTTTTAGGTTTTATTAAGGAAAAAAATCATAATTTAATATACTGTTTCAAGAATTCATTAAAATCATACCTTTAGACAGAAAAATTCATTTTCCTTTCTCTTGGGAATGTTTAGAATATTCACAGAGATAGCAACCCGATAGTTCTTCAAATGCTGCACTTTTGATTGATTAAAGTGTTTATGTATTATTAAAGGATATTGTAATTTCAAAGTTTCTAAAGGCATTTTTTTTCCAAAGATAGAGATCAAAAGCAAAACACTGAGTTAGAGTTACAAATCTCCACTCATAGATATGGGAATAATATATTTTGTTCCATCAACATGTCTACTTTGCATTATTCAGCACAAAGCTTTGTGAAATAAGAATCATGGGAATATAAGAATATAAAGAAAAAAGGTACAAATAACAGCTTCATAAACTGAGAAATGTACATAAATAAATCATGTATATGTGGGCAGTTTGCTTAGCTGGCAAGAAACAAAATATGGAAAATCTGCTTGTTAAACAATAACTACAGAGTGTGCTTTTATGATGTTTTTCACCACAGTAATTCATATTAGAGATAGAAGCAGTTGCATGTTAAATAAAATCATTGAGCATTGTTCCCCTTGCATTGCAAAGAGCTGACTTGTGTTGTTTTTAGATGCCTCCCATTAGAAAGTAAATATTCCTTCAATGCTATGCATTTCACAAAATTTAATAAAGATGAACTGTAAATAAAGTCACAGGGAGATTTCAGACAGTTTTATTAGGAGATTGTTGAAAAGGAAAAGAAAATTAAATACAATAACAGTAAACGTGGTTCTCACATTGAAACCAGGCTCAAATAACTAGGCTACCATAGAAAAATTTCCAATTCTTGCATTATGATGTAAAAACAGATTTTTGTACAGATTTTGTACAACAAAATTCGTAATAACCTTTTATCATTTTTAGAAAACTTTAAATATATAGATAAAAATAGACAATTTTCATAGGTCCTACATGAAGATGAGTATGTTCTGTTCCAAGGGCTTGCATAGAGCGCAAATGTGGTTATAATATAGAACAACTAGACATTAATATTTTTAGGATTACAAAAGCATGGAAACCATAAAATGGGCACATTTTACTTGTTTATGCCAAAACACAAATTTCCAAACCAACCTGTATAACTAAAACAGGGAAAAAATT